>NC_000017.11:8521414-8672929 GCF_000001405.40 Homo sapiens
GCAGTCAGCATACTTAGGCACTGCACAAGCCGGGAACTAACAGCCACACACTTATATGGCAGGATACTGTAGTGCTTTGACAGCTCCACACCAACACACACCAGCAGATGCCTTCCGCTGCGCTAGTTTCAGGAATTCACTGTCTTGGATAACATTCTGACTGTTACATTTACAATTATTTGGAAAATGAAAACTCATTGGCTGGCATTATTGATACATACAAACTGATACTGTGAAAGGCCTCCAAATAGGAAATGGCTCATAAAAATATATATAAGAATATCTGATTGTACAAATCCACTTAACAAATAACCTCAGGGACTAGGGACCAGAATTCTCTCTTATTAGTCATTAGATATTCAGTGAGAAAAGTCATTCAAGTTTTAGGAACAAATGCAGGAAGATTAGATTACAGGAGTTCAGATTTTTAGCAATGTGTAAGCTTCAGTTCTCTTCTCAAAACATGAATAACACTTACTAAAGGGCAAGAACACAAAATAGGAAGGACTCTTCTGAAAAGATAAATGACTAAGCTTCCTAGGTGTTCAATGGCTAAACTTGTCAGACATTCCCTTGTTACAGCAACCGATAGTTTTACATTATCCACAAAGACCTAGTACTTCTAATGATGAGACCATAAACAGTACACCAGCCACAAGCAAAACATTTGGTGCATAATGTACATATCCTCTTATTGAAAAGAAGTTAAATGAATGAAACACATTACTCAAATACTTTAAAATCAATCAGAATTATCAACTGAACTGCCCTTTTTAATGCCCTCCTCAACCCTAATGGACACCTCATTTCTTTCATTTGTTTCCTTTGACAGAAGCATATGGGGACCTGACACTGTATGAAGAGCTTTATGTGCAAGATCTCATTCAATTATCAATTTCCAATGAGGTTTTTAACACAAGAGAACCAAGACCCCGGGAGGTAAAAGTGAACTGCTCAAGTTATGCAGGTCTTCAGTGGAAGCTGGGAGAAGGGCGGGTAAAAGCTGTTTAATTTCCAGGCCCATGCAGGCACACTACACTACAACTGCTTCCAAGCAAAGCTACCAGATTCAAGGGTGTGGGTCAGAGCTACCTCTTTTGCTTGTGCATTGGAGACTGTCTACCTCAGAGACCACCATTCTTTCCTGTGCCTTCAACCTCTCCCTCTTCACTTGCCCCAGCAGAAAGCGGCACAAACCCACTTCTGCAGGCCCCATAAAATACTGATCTTCCCTTGACCCTGTATCTGCCCACTTCTCTTGTCAGAGCCACGCTTCTTTCTTGAGTAGTTCACACCGTTGCTACACCATATCCTCTCCCACTAACTTCCCAGTGTGTAGCCAACTGGCTTATGGCCCGTCCTCTTCCTCTCCTGCCCAACACTACTCAGGCAATGACTGGTCAATTGCTAAATGAATAGACACCACCCAGTGCTTGTTTTTCTTGACCCTGGTACGTTTACCTGGTGATGTCACAGCACCATTGTAAAAACTCTCCACTCCTGGCTTTTTTAGGAGCTCCACCTTCTCCTGTACCCTACTTCCCCCTCACTACTTCAGTCCCATGTTTCTTGATGATTTCTCTTCTGCTTTTCCTGTACCTCATGGCACTCGCCTGGGATCCCAAATCAATTCATCTGCAACCCTTCTAGAATAAGGCACAATACAAATGCTGACACTGGCCCTCTGCTTTTCTCAAGCCATATTCCCAACCCAGGTGATCTCAGCTATGACTCTAACTAGATATACCTGACCACCCAGAGCCAGCTGCCAAACACCTGTGTTCTACTCTCCACTCAGATGTCACAAAGGTGCCTCTGCCTTCTACAAATGTTTGTTCAATCCTAGCATGTCTGCTTTGACTCAGTGTTGCATCCCTGCTCCCTGCATGATGTCTGGCACCAACATACTTCATATATACATGTCAGTGGATAAATTATGTAAACATTAAATATCTTTGTAATTAAAAAGAGTGAGAAATGCATTCAAAGAAAATAACAGGATGCCATAGGAGAAATGAGTGGTTAGAGATCTCTCTGGGGAAATGCCATATAATACCCCAAAATTAACAATGGGCCTGTGGGAAGATGACCACTCCAGTCGGTGCAATCAGCATATGTGAAAGACCAGGGGCAGGAAGAAGCGAAGGAAGGCCAGCACGGAGGAGGAGGCACCAGTGTGAGGAGGAGCTTATGACACTCGCACTGGCTGCTGCCTGCAGAATGGCCTGGGGAAGGGGGAGGGAGAAGTGGAAGTGGGGAGGCCAGACAGGTGACCCTTCCAGGAGTCCAGGGTCTAGGCGATGAGGGCAGCTGGAGCTAGTGAGATTACAAAGACAGATCGAGAAGGAAGATTCAACAGGTATTTTAGTGGGAGGACTGGCTTGCTCTTGGATGAACTTGATATGCAAAGTGAGGCAGAGGAGCATTTCAAGAATAACTGCCAGGGTTCTGGCTTGAGCAACCGAGTGGCGGTAGGGAAGACAAGGAGGGAAGTGGGTTTTGTGGATGGGAAGACAAGACCCAAACTCTAAGTAAGTCTGGGATGCCTGGGGGACTTCGAAGTGGAAGAGAAATGTCAAGTGACAAGAGGAAAATTCCAGTCTGCTGCTAGGAAGAGAGGTTGGAACTAGAAAGGTAAATTTGGGAGTTGTCAACTTTTATCTAGGGGAGACCAGAAAGAGATGGAGGGCCTAAGACCATCCCCAAGGAGCTCAGCAGAGGAGGAGGAGTTAAAGAGCAATGAAGGCCAGGCATAGTGGCTCATGCCTGTAATCCCAGTATTTTAGGAGGCCGAGGCAGGAGGATCACTTGAGGTCAGGAGTTTGAGACCAGCCTGGCCAACATGGTGAAAACCTGTCTCTACTAAAAGTACAACAAATACAAAAATTAGCTGGGCGTGGTGGTGCACACCTGTAGTTCCAGCTACTCGGAAGGCTGAGGCAGGAGAATTGCCTGAACTCAGGAAGCGGAGGTCGCAGTAAGCTGAGATCATGCCACTGCACTCCAGCCTGGGCAACAGAGCGAGACTCTGTCTCAAAAAAAAAAAAAAAAAAAAAAAAAAAAAAAAAAAAAAAAAAAGGATATGGAGAGGGGACAAAGGCCCAAGTCTTAAACCCAAGCACAGATCCACCCTCTGTCCTGTTCTTCCTCCTGGGTTTCCTATCCAATGGAACCACTGACCAAAAGTGGTCAAGCCAAAAGTTAAGATGTCATCGATCCACCCTCCTCTCCCCTGCCCTTGCTGGGCTCCTGCTTCTGACCTGGATCCTGCACTTCTCCCCCATTTCATCCTCTACCCGTAGTGCTACATGTTTCCTTCATTTACACCTTTTGTCCCTGTGTAATGTAGCAGCCACTTCTAAAAGACAAAACTAAGTATTAACATCCTTGAGTTTCTCCCACAGCCTGTCGGATAGTGTCCAAATAACTCAGCTCAGTAGTACAGCATAGCAATGGCCTTCACTCAGAGTCAGACACACCACACTCATGAGCTGGGTGATTCTGGGGCAAGTGACCCAATTTCTCTAAGCCTCAATTTCCTCCTCTTGAAATGGAGCTAAGGAGACCACGCTTCAGAGTTGTGAGCCTGAAAAACATTCAAGTGTTCAACGAAGGCACCTCTCTTGTCCCTTTCACACATGCCCCTAAAGGCCAACTGTACAAACTAGTTGCATTTTCCCAAAGACACAATGACTTCACATTCCATCCTTTTCTCTCTGCCTGGAATGCCCAGCCCGCTCCAGTCATCTTGGCAAATGCTTAAATACTTTTAAATCTCCATTCCTTTACCAGCTACCTCAGGGAACCCTTCTTATGCTCGGTTTTCACCCTGCCTCCAAAGCTAAATACACCACTCCCTTCTCTAGGCTTCAAATCCCTGGGACAGAACTTCCACACTGTTTCTGTGCTTCTTCTCACTGGACTGAGCTTCCCCAGGGAACATTTTTCCAGCATCTTACATACTCAGGGCCCCGAAAGCTGTGCCTATGGTGTCTCTGGCCCCCCAACCATCAGCGGAGACAATCTCCCAGCCCCAGATGTTGGCCGGTGCCTGGTGCTGGGCACACAGTAGCTATTTAATAAATATCTGCTAAGTGAACTTGCACGAAGTTTACCAGAAGAACAAATCACCACTACAACAAAAGAGGAAGAGCACCATGTTACTCTGGAAGGATCAATTACACTGGTTGTGCAGTACTTTAGCCTACACGGGCAGTTCTTAAACACAATCTGCTGTCAGTGTTGTGTGTGTGGTTTTTTAAAAATATAGTAACTAATAAATAGTCATAATAATCCTGATTTTCAAATTTAATTTTAATACGGACAATCCAAAGCTAAATATTCAGATTAAAAAAAATAATGCTTTAGACTTTCAGTTCTTGTTTTTTGTTTTTTTGAGATGGAGTCTTGCTCTGTCACCCAGGCTGGAGTGCAGTGGCACAATCTCGGCTCAGAGCAACCTCCGCCTCCTGGGTTCAAGCAATTCTCCTGCCTCATCCTTTTGAGTAGCTGGGACTATAGGTGCCTGCCACCATGCCTGGCTAATTTTTGTATTTTTAGCAGAGATGGGGTTTCACCATATTGGCCAGGCTGGTCTCGAACTCCTGACCTTATGATCTGCCCGCCTTGGCCTCTCAAAGTGCTGGGATTACAGGCGTGAGCCACCGCGCCCAGCCGTTTTTAATTCAACATTTTAAACTCAGGGTTAGATTCCACCAACAAAATCATCTTGTGGGTAAAAGAGAAACACTTTGGGAAATTCATTAAATGATTTGAGCCACACTAATAATGTATGATTTCACTCAATAATCAAGACCCGAAAAAACTCTATTTTAAGAGTATTTTCTTGTTGATCAAAGCAGAAACCAGAGAAAGGCAGAAAATGCGAAGAGAAGACTCCAGCAGCTCCTTGAAATGGGCGGCGCGCCTCACTGGAAGACCTAATATTGCTTCTAAATCTCAAGTGCCCTTCCTCCAGCCACAGTTTCAGGGTAAAGATTAGCTTTGTTTATTCTTGCACTGTAAATTCTTCTATCTGAGATGTCAGGAGACCCTGGTTAGGATTGCTGGGGGGCATTTAAATTCATTACTTGGTTCTAGAAGCCTGAAAAGTATTTTCTTCTAACACCTAATTTACTAATCTATAACAATGTATTTAAACAGTCAGAAATTAGATGAGTTCCAGACTGAAATCTGTGAGGACATATTCGCATAGCTTTAAGAGAGAAAATGCAACGTGTCGTCTATCTCATCATGAAACTGCCACCAACAGTTTCATAGAAGGAATGGCATCGCTTGGTACCGAATCCTTAACTGGCCCTTCTAGGGGATAATCTAGGAGACGGGGCCATAAGATTTTTATGTTTTTCAAATCTGTGCATGGGCCAAAATACTAGTGTTACTAAATTTACTTTCAAGTATTTAAGCTAGATCTTCAGAAATTCATTCTACTTAATATAGCTGGAAACCAAAAAAGGGGGAAGAAACCTATTTAATGTTAATTTCAACAGCCAGATGCTGATGACTGAGAGCAGCATCACGCGCTCCTCATGAAAGGTATCCAGTGCCCAGCACTGTGTGAGGCATGGAGCAGGTTCTCAATACTCATTTAAATAAGGTAAGACAATTCCACCCTCATATAGATGAAAATGTCACTGTTATAAACAATTTGGAAACAAATATATTTAACTATTATGAATTCGCAGAAACGATCTTCACATCAGTCTGTCTCCATAATATCCCTGTTACGTGGTACTGTAATAACAAGTTTACAGTGGTTACATAACTAGTTGCTAGAACCGATCTGCTAATTACTCTAGCATTGGGAAATTTTTAGAAAAACCCCAGGAAGTTAAGAGGTTGACAGGAAGCACATGATTTAAGGAGAAAGCAATCTTCTTTATCCCAAGCACTAGTCTCAAGCCAAACTTGAATGTCTCCCTTATTTCCATCTACCTTCCTATCCCTTTCGGCCAGGCCATCTAAGGCGCTGGGCAGACAGGAAGCCCCTCTTTGCCTACAGCTTCCACTGTGCTCTGCGCTCGCTTTCTCCCGTTGTGGGGTCCCATGTCCCCAACTCATGCTGAGACTGGGCAGCCTGGCACCACGGCCTATCAGCTGTACCTTGGGACACTATGAGCGATACTAGACTTATGTTAAGGAAAGCCAAGGAAATAAACATTTATCGGGTTTCTCTGTTGTTCTGTAATTACAGCAGCAGCTGCTGCAGATGCAGCCACGGCAATGGCAACTCTACAACACCACACATTCAGGCACTCCCCATGTGCCACGCATTCAGGTTCACGTTGCCTCAGTTGATACTCACAGTAACCCTGAGAACTAAATGTTGCTGTCCGCACTTGTCCTCAGGAACTCAAACTGCAGTACCCAAGCGCTGCTTCTCCTCGGTGAGTTTCCAACTATTGCTAACACTCAAGATCAAAAAACAGGGAGGAGGAGAATATAATGCAACAACAAAAACCTTCATCCATTGAAAGCGAGAACAATTTAAACACGTAAACTATGTCAGACCTAAACCACAGATTCTAAAATGGGACTTGAGATGGAGGTTATGATCAATGGATGTAATCTATATGGAGATTAAATGGGTACCATCTTATCAGTCATGATACTTGACTCTACCTGGACTTCTCAGGTTTTCCCCAATTTTTGCTCTGCTAGTACACTCTTCCGGACCTGTCAGCTGCAATCTAGCACACATGGAGGTTCAAAGAGCCTAACTGGTGCTGTTCTATGAAGGAAATTGCAGGTGCAGGTATAAACTAGCATTAGTGAAAACGATACATAATTGTACCTCCAACATGCTTTGGATCAGGTCTAAAGCCTTTGATAGTCTCAATTACCCTATTACCCATCACCCCTTTAGTCCAAAAGCCCTGCCTGTAGCTTTCAGGTTACAACCCCTTTTTGCTGGTTCACTCTGCTTGCATCTTCCACTACTGGTTTATCTCTGAGGTCCAGACTTTCAAAATATACTTGGAAGAAAACAGTCCTTGACTTTATAGCAGAAACTTATATGACCTCCATATTTGCCTCTAGGAATCCTATTCTCCCCTGTTCCTTTCTCTTCTGTACTTGTCCTGTGATTTTTCTGCAAATCTCTCTTTATTCCAGTCCCAGAAGCCTGCATGCTCTTCATAATGATATCTTCCCATCATTACACATGTACTTAAGCACATGGGTCCTATCAGCTTTGTGTCACCTGCTTTAGAGAGGTGCTTACCATATGTCAGCACGTCACAGGCAATCACAATTTGGATCCCTAGAAACTCCTTCATCCATTGTCTTCCAAGAAATCACTGGAAATATTAAAGTCCTACATTTTCGTTTTAAAATCCCTTAGCCCTCTCTGGGGTGGTGGTCTTGAATCCATAAGCGCATTAAAGAGAAAACGATTTTGCTGTAAACTATTACACACAATCTCAAAGAACATATTTGGCCTTGGTAGATGGATGGGCTTCCAAGGAGAAGCAGAGATTGAGATCCTTGGTACTTGGTTCAGCTAAGTAACTCAACCAAAGGACACCTCACAGAGAGAGACAGAACCGGGAACATTTTCAGTGCCAAGGTGAGGGTACAGTGAGGGGAATGAGCCACCCCGCTGCTCATTCACTAGCATGAAGTCATCTAAGAGAGGCTCTGGGCTGGATGCTGCTGGTACAGCAAAATGCCTGGTGTATACACCCCAAAGATCATGCTCCCACAGGAAAGAGTGTCCGTGCTTTAGGTGGTCACAGTGGGAATGGAAGGCGAAGCTGCTGGGGCTGAAAATGGGTGTGGGGTCGCCACCCCCTATCCATCCATCAGCTCTCTCTCAGCGACTTAGTGATGTTTTGCCTCCTCTGTGCCAGGTGCTGCAGAAATGACAGTGAGCAAAGCCAGGCACTGACCCTGCCCTCAAAGAGCTCACAGCCTGAAATTCTCTTATGAGGTTAGAAATCCAAAGGGAATTCATCTAAAGAGGGCACTCACTTTAGGAGAAAGTCCAAAAGATCAAGCACTAACCTTTAATAAAGCACAAGTCCCAGGTTATAGCTGAAAACTACCTCCAAGCTTCCCCCGTCCATTTCAACACTGTCAGCATTCCCCAACGCCAAAGAGGACTGAATTTAGAGATCTCTTCCTTTGGAGTTCCGTAGAATTTTCATTCCTGCTTATGCTGTCTCTAGCATAATCTTTTCTCTCCTCCCACTCCATACTTGCAGTCTACTTCTTTCATAGTATGTGAACTAGAGGTGATGGCAGGAATTTTGAGTTGGATTAAAATAGGCATGGCCCTTTAACATTTTAAATATAACTTTTGAGATGGATTTGGATCTCAGCATTATCATGTTCCAAAAATCATAAAGGAAATTTCATAAGATAAATTTATCTTTGAGTTTCGCTACTTGCCAGTTTCACTAAACATTCGGAAGGCTGGGTGGGCTTCATTTTATATTGGGCTTTTGGAGACTCTGTAGCTGTAGTTAGGCTGTATTGTAATACAGGGCTGAGGATTCAGATCACAAAGCCCAAACATTTGGAGCTCAATTTAAGGTTCAATGTATAATTCTGACAACATTCCACTCTATTTTAGTCTCAACTTGCACATATCAGGCCTTGTAGATAGTTTCAGGGCCTCTGGTTGAAAAGAAAAGGCCAAGTAGCCAGATAGGCACACAAATTCCAAACAAAAGGTATAATGATGAGACCAACACACCTGAGGTAGCTATGTAATTATTTGTCTACAAAATGTGTCTTAAATACAAGAAAAAAATCCTCCTTGGAATTCCTCAGAGTTGAAAATTTAAAGGTGACTCAAAAGCAAAGGAGATGTCATTTAGCAGATCAGTTCTTAACAATTTCCTTAGAGGACTGTGTATCACAATGGCACTATTGGAAAAGGTAGTGGCATACCTTTTAATATGCGGTGCTATAAGTGCTATGCATAAAATAAGAAGCAATGTGTAGGCAGTAGCAATTAAATTGCTTATGCACTCAAACATTTGCCTTGAAGTATAATAAAACTGAGCATGAAATGAAAGGTTCATGCAGGCCTATGAGCAAAACAAAAACAGAAACCCAAAGCCCACCCCAGCCCCCAGTCTACCCCCGCCCTCCCCGGCCACCCTGCCAGTCCCCCCACACGTTTTTCCTGTGGGCTTAAAACCCTTCTGTTTTGGAAGACCTACAGGCTTTATACATTCACCTGGTGGCTCATGAAGACCAGAAACACTGTCATAGAAAGAAGCTCTCTGAATATTCTGAATCTCTAAAGCAGAGAAACAGCAAAAACAGGACAGAAGAGCAAATACACAAACACTTCAGTTAGTGTGAAAGACATTTGACAGCACAAGTCAACTTTGAAATCGGGCTACAAAAGGAGCTAGTCCAAGGCAGATCCCATGCAAACATGACTGTTTAGAGAATTTGCACATTTGGATAAAGTTCTTTATAAAATAGATTAATGCTAAATCAAAAGAGCACATTCCCAACTCCCGGTGTGAGCATTATATGATATCAATGTCAAATGATTAGCCCATGTAAATGCAAGATGACATTTATGAGGAATAAGGCACTATTTGAGTTGTCTATCGTAAAAATATCTTATCGTTAGTAGCTTAGGGCATGACTGCAGTGAAGTCACAGCACTATGGCGAATGTAAGTATCAATGGCTTTTACTGTCAAAAATTACGCTGCTGTGTAATTAATTTTACTTCTAATACAGATTTTCGGAAATATAATTTCCGAAAAATAATTTGAATACAAATTACCATATGACAGATAACTACCATTAAGGAAAACAAAATTCAAGTTCTGTTGTAGCAAAATGTTAAAATAATTTTGAATTATAAGCGAGATTATACTTATTGATCATACTGTTACTCATGAAAATATCCTAGGAGGTACATTGACATGAAAATGCAATCTTTAGGATTTTTTTTTTTCCTCAATATAAGCTTTAAGAAGTGCCAAGAAGTCCTTTGCAGCTGGTAAAGAGATCCCAAACAACATCTTTTAGCAAAAAGTAGGGCATTATAAATCTCTAGGGCAGGGCTGCCACCAATAAATCTTATTTCTCCTGGTTTGGCCTTGAGAAAACTCTAAAACTCTAACACAAACTCTACTTTTTTTCTTTTTCTTTTTTTTTTTTTCAGTTGAGACAGGGTCTCGCTGTGTTGCCCAGGCTGGTCTTAAACTCCTGGGGTCAAGCGATCCTTCTGCCTCAGCCTCCCAAACTGCTGGGATTACAGGCGTGAGCCACCGTGCCCAGCCATAAACTCTATTTTAACACAAAATGTTTCATACTGTAGGTGTTGCACCTTCACAGGCAAACTATATTCATATATCATATATTCATCTATTCATGTTCAACTTGTCGTTTTCTGCTTTTGCATTTAAGTGGCTCTAAAAAGAGGAAAATAATGTTTTTCCAGGGTTATTTTTCTAGAGAAAAATTGCTCCCCTTATCCTGCGATCTCTCTATCCAGAGTGAGCAGTGATAAATCCTCCACCTTAGAACCCTCTTTAACCTTCTGTGCCTGCCACTGCTTTCTGTATGAAACAAACTGTCCTCAAAATTGGACAAACATGGTACTGCTTCTCTGCCTGCTCCTCACCCTGAAGAACAGTGCCTCCCAACAGTGAGTGGCCTCTGAGATCTTCTCCGTCACTCAGATGAAACTAACTGTCCACCTAAGCTGAAGAGCGACAGCACCTCCTGCTAAGAGCAGCATTATCAGGAGAGCAAACATGTAGGAGTATTCCAGAGCAGAGGCTAGCAGAGCCAAAGCAAACCTGGGGTAGATAAGATATCCCTTGGCTTATTTTGACAAGAATGGCCAAATGCACTCCCAACGGCATATCTCTGGAAAGACAAGGGCCATAAATAGGGCTGTGCAAACATGGCATCTGTGAGTCAGAGCTGTGGACTAAGTACAGATGAATGGGGCTCACACCAGGGCTGAAGGAGCTCAGCAAGGCTTACAGTTTCCTCTAAGCATTTCTGTAATGAAATCAATAACTTTCCCGTATCTCTTAAATGGAAGACACAAAAGTGCAGGTAAGGAGTCTCCAGACAGGGTCCTACCTGTAAGACATAGCATCTGTGATCTGTAATTTGTATGACATCCCAGCCTCCCACCTCCATCCTTGCCCACCAAATCTTATATACCTACAGCTTCTGACCTATTGTTGCCAAAGCCCTCTCCAGTATCTGGGGCTGGTGAGACCTTAAATTAAAGAAGAAAGGAAGGAGGAAGTAGGAAGCTGGGAGCCAAGAAAAAGATTAGCTCAGTTCTAGTAATGCATCTGTGTATATCCTGGTTTCTCAACTGGATCACTAGCTCTTGGGAGGCAGGGGACATGTCTCTCATTGCTTCCAGATCTAGCTCACAGATTATTGCCATGGGAAGCACATACTTAGGTATGTAGAATTATACAAATGGGTCAAGTGCTGAACAGGTGTTTCCAACACCATTTTTGGTTAAGGGATATAAGACAAGGACTAAAAAAGGGTTCATAGTGTCAGAATAAATATGTAATAAAGGACTTAATTTCCATGCTTATAATGTCAGTAGTCCCAATACCTGTTTTCCTTCAAAATGAAGAGAAAACCAGTTTTTGAGGCTTGTTTTCAAAAACCAGGAAAAACCCCATTTCCTCTGTTCCTGTTTCCCAGGCATCATCTCCACGCCCACTGTCATCTTCAGTCGCCCCATATTCAACTCCTCACTTCCAGGCTCTTTCACTCCAATCTACCCAAAACACACTGCCTGTTTCACTTCTTCGAATTCAGAATGGGTCACTACCCAAGGTCACAAACCTACTGATGCTATTTATTCAGCACAGTCTCAAGTCCAAATTCCACTAGAGATGGGACATGAGGACTCTCCAGTCTAGCCTCAACCTACCATCCCAGCCTCATTTCCTGCTCACTCTTCTCTGCCCCAGCCCTCTCTAAAGCCAAATGGAACACTCCTCCTGAGCTATGATTTTCCACCTCTCCACTGTGATCATTCTGTACTTCTTCTCCTGCCAACTTCATTTCTACAAATGCCACCCCAGACACTCACTCCTAGAGTCAGTTCATGCAAACCTTCTTACCCGTTTAAGGCATAACCGGGCCATAAATGCTCATAAATTAGTGCTGAAAACACTGTGTGGCACTTAGTAGGTGCTCAGGAGATGTTAGCTTTCATTGTTTAATCAACAAATCATTATTCTCTTTTAAGGACAAGGAAAATTTGCATCCTCTCATCATGACATTTTTCCCTTAGCGCCCCAGAAAAAGGTAGTCCCTTCCTCTGTTGCACACCCCTAAAAATTCACTGTACCATTCCCATGGCATTTATCACAGATCCACTTTGCATACTGATCTCATTCCTTCTGCTGTGTTCTAAGACCTTACAAGGGTATCCAGAGGAGAAGCTGAACATGGGGAGACTTTGTAACCTACACAGTCTCCAACACTGTCACAGCTGAAGTGATTCCTGAAGGAATGCAAATCCTTACGACTGCAACATTACTCCTCCCTCTTCTTCCTCACATATTTCCCATCCACATTTCCAACTCACCAGCGCTGGCCTTTCTAGCACTGTAGACCCCGTAACAACAACCTGAGCTCAGAGGTCTTTTTCTGTTCTCGTCTCAGTTTCTCATATCCCACTCTTAACACTGCCTGTTGACAAGGTGAAGAGGAGCTCAACTCTGAGGATACTGTAAGTTCTATTGCAGCTCCCTGCTTCTCTTCCCAGTCCTCACACAGCATCCCTCGACTGACTAGGTCACTGGAAGTGACACTGCACTCAGTAGTCAGTTGAAGACTTTCACCTAAAGGTACAAAGATTAAAGGCTTCTGTTTTACTTGTTGGAAAGCTCGTCTTTCCCCCAGGTCCCTCCCCTCTTTGCTATGTCTCAGGCCCACAGTCTGCTCCCAGGACGCATGCGTGCCTGTGTTCAGTGCATCCCCCCCTGCAGCTCCCTCACACTGACTTGATCTGATGGACACAGTCATTCTTAAGATGATCTTTTATAGGGTCACATTCCCCCTAGTCACTTTCTCTGTGTCCATTCTTCAATTCCTGTCTCTTTCCTTTGGCCCCAATTGCCCTCAGCCTGCCTGCTTCCATTTGCCCTTCTCTGCTTCCATTCCTTTCCCTCTACCTCTAAGACAGCTAGATTACAAGGCTTAAGATGCTACAGAGAAAGCAGATGTGACCCAGGTTACTGAACAGGTCTGGCCTCAGGGTCAAGGTCTAGGCAGGGTTAGATCCAGGGCTAAGGTCCTGCATGGCCTGAAGCCAGGCAAAGAGGTGGAACAGAGCCAGGATGAAATGTAGCAGGTGAGCTGAGCTCTAGGAGAAGATACTGGTTCCTAAAATGCATAGAGACACAGAGACATTTTGATTTTCTGATACTAGTAAAATCTTCTAGTCTACAATAAAAATCACCAAAATTCTTCAACTGAGGTTCATATAACAAAAGAACTATGAGGACTGATGGAAAGAAGAGCAATTGATCTGTATGCAGGCAATTTGAGTTTATCCACCAGCCACTGGGTGTCGCGGCGGGTGCGGGTGGTGAGGAAGGACGGAGCTCAGCAGGCCTGACACAGGGAAAATGGAATGAGCAGGCCTTCTCGGGTTTTGTGTTCCAGTGTTCCTGGATTACAACTGACTTGGGACTGTGGTGGCCTAAGTCATACGTGTACGTCTTTGTGGCTCCGGGCCTAGAATGTTTCTGTACTCCTACAACATCTGACCAAGAAGGTAGCTGTCTCTGTATTCATTTCTTAACCCAAGTATTGTTAAAACGGATAAATTCCGATATAACGGCAGCCCTGCTCTAGGGAAAGAAAGATTTTAAAGTAAGAAGTTATATGTATCCATATATATGTAAAAGAACCATCTATAAACCTTAATTATAAAAGATTCCAGCCAAGCATGATTACAAAGATAAGCACTTTCTTACCATCTTTCCAAAGCTCTGCCACAAATCTGTCTGATGACTGGTGCAAAAGGGTGGCCACGTTGTCATTCAGGGGGTCCATATTCTTCATCAGCCACTCATCTGCCTTATAGTCCACCTATCCCGCACCAAAGCCAAAAGTGGTGAAATGGAGAACACAAAACCAAATGCAAAAACAAAAACACTTTAAGCCTCAACCAGAAACTTTTATACAACAGTCCCCAAAATGGGCTGTCTGAAAGACAATATGTTTGTAATATATACTGTATTTGTTTATAAATGTTTATCAGCACCTTTGTTACACCTTCATAAAAATGTAGCAAAATTTCAAACACAGCCATTTTAATCCAGTTATTCAACATAAGAGCTCTTACCTTCCCTGCATAATGTATAATGCAAAAATCAGCTTTGTCTTTTAATTGTCGAGGTTTCTGAAACTTGGAGTGGGAACCTTGCTCTTGAACCAGTTTTTCAACAAAGGTTTTATCTGTGGCTTTAGGGAACCAGCATTCTTCATCCAAAAGGGCCAGTACACCAGGAGGGTTCGCCTGATAATGACAGGCAATAAGAATTCACAAGTTTTGCATGCCACTTTAATACTACTGAGTCTGGCACTTAAACTTCTAAAACAATTAGTTTTATGAAGATCCATGGAAAACAAATTGCTAGGATGGAAAGGAATGTCTAAGCCATAACAAGTTTATAATTCAAACACTGACATCTCAAACTGCTAAATAAGTACTAACAAGAAAACAGAGGAGTAACTTATCTCAAACTTACAAATACTGTATGTAAATTGCAAGTAAATGAATTCCAAGCAGATGGCCCCACAAAAGTGGCAAATAAAAGAAGCCAGAAACGCAGTGGGAAGTGGAGAGATGAAACTGAATGTTCATGTTCAGTGACTGGCTGGAGAAATCATTATAACACCTCAACTAATGAGAATGCTTCAAACATTTTATATCCTAATCAGTTTAAGTTTCTGTTTAAGTAATTTTAAATTAAATGTATCACTTTATATTTGGCGAAATATTTTAAACTATTATTAAGTAGAATATATGGAAATTGATAAACTAAGTCAGTCATCAATTGCCTTATATATTTGTTTTAACAGGCATTTGACAACCCATTTTATGTGATGCAATTATTACTTCATTGAAAAAAAGTAGCACTTTGGGAGGCCGAGGCAGGTGGATCACGAGGTCAGGGGTTTGAGACCAGCCTGGCCAAGATGGTGAAACCCCGCCTCTACTAAAAATACAAAAATTAGCTGGGTGTGGTGGCACATGCCTGTAGTCCCAGCTACTCAGGAGGCTGAGGCAGGAGAATCGGTTGAACCTGGGAGGCAGAGGTTGCAGTGAGCCGAGATGGTGCCATTGCACTCCAGCCTGGGTAACAGAGCAAGACTCTGTCTCAAAAAAAAAAAAAAAGCGCTAGATGAATCCATAGAGACAGAGGGTAGATTAGTGGCAGCCGGGGATTGAAGGAACAGAATGTGGAGTGACCACTAATGGGTATGAGGTTTCTTTCTGGGGTGATGAAAACGTGGCAGGATTTGGTAGTGGTAATGGTTCCACAACTTTGTGAATATACTACAAACATCACTGACTTGTAGTTTTAAAAGGGTGGATTTCATGGTTTGTGAATTATGTCTCAATTTTTAAAAAGGCCTAGAGCTCACCATTGTCTGGAGTGACTTCCTTTTTGGAGGTAAATGACACATGAAAGCTAAATAAGATATTTAAATAGTGATGGTCTATTTTCTAGTGCTTCTGGGCCATCATTTATTGTCACACTGCAAATATGGCAAGTGTGTGATACAAAACTGAACTCGTACCAGTTCTAGGGCACACTCATGAAATCAGCTGTTTGAGTAAGACTCTAAGATCAGTTCTCATCAACTCACAAAGCTTTCATATTTACTGGCAAAGAGTTGGCAATACACACAAATGCTGTTTTTAAAAGTAGCTAGAGGCTATGGTTAAATATAAATGAAACAGTGTAATAAAGTGGTCAGAGAAAGGGATGGGTGATCTGAATGCCAGCGGGTGGAAGCTGAGGGAACCCTTCTGCAATGGAGACCCTTACCCCAGGGCTCCTCCACCTGAAAGAATTGTCAGGGTTTCAGATCAGCTAAAAAGAAGACAGTAATCTGAAGCAACTGGGATTAGGTCACTTTAGAGGAGCTCAGAGTGGCAGGTAACTCAATCCACCCTAATCACACAACAACTGTGAGAAAGGAAGTTCCACATTAATATTAATATAACAAAAACATCCTCCTTTTACCCTTTTACATTCTTAACCACTTTTAATGAGAATTTTCCTAAATTCTGACACAGTATCTCAAATAAAAATTTGTATTTTTTTCTAAATGACTTGGTGACAGCATGATCATGAATATCATTACTGTGTCTCCTTTTCATTTTTTCCACTTCATCCTTCAATGTCAAGATCTCTATTATCATTCCTTCTCTGAACCGGGTATTTCCAAGAGCTGTAAGCTTAGAAGCCTGTGTTTCTGAATATTGGTCATAGGTTTTGTGAAAGCTTGTGAACTCAGAGGCTTGCCTGCCACCAGCCCACAGTCTGGCAAGGCAGGGGCTGGGATTATGCGAGATGAGCTAAGCCTGGCACGGGCCTGTCAGGTGCCACCACAGAGGATGTTTTTACAGCATTTTCCTTCTAGAAAGTATTGTTTTCACTCTCCATTTTGCAAGGAACATCAATGGGATCATTATCCCATGTCATTCCACAGGCTGTCGTTAAATTCCCCATCATCATAAACTCTCATGGGGTTTACAAAATGTTATGTTTTTATTTTTTATTATTATTATTTTTTGAGACGGAGTCTCGCTCTTGTCCCCCAGGCTGGAGTGTGGTCACGCGATCTTGGCTCGCTGCAACCTCCACCTCCCGGCTTCAAGCGATCCTCCTGCTTCAGCCTCCCGAGTAGCTGGGATTACAGACAACCGCCACGACGCCTGGCTAATTTCTTTTTGTATTTTTAGTAGAGATGGAGTTTCACCATGTTGGTCAGGCTGGTCTCGAACTCCTGACCTCAAGTGATCTGCCCGCCTTGGCCTCCCAAAGTGTTGGGATTACAGGCGTGAGCCACTGTGCCTGGCCATGTTTTTATTTTTTAATCAGATATTTCTATGAATAAGTAGAATAATCCTCAAATTGAGGTAAAGAGTGAGTCAGCATTAAATCTTGAATTCCTTCCCTCCCCTTTCTGAGCTATCTCTCCTATAAATTAGGACTATTTAGGCAGGGAATAAAGGGTCCACTCTAAAGGCTGAAGGAAGAGCCTAGAAGTGCCAGTACAAAGAGGATAGGAAGGAAAGAAGGAACGAGTTACCTAGTTCTACTCATTGCCCGTCAGTGTCTGGGCATAACTGGTGACTAGGAACATCATGACTTCCCAGCTCCAATACTTTCTGAATGCCCTGGCTGCTGTGGTTTCAATGTGTTCCCTGAAAGTTCACATGTTGGAAACCTGGTTCCTAATGCAGCCGTGTTGAGAGATAAGACCTTTGGGAGGTAACTGGGTCATGGGGCTCTTTCCTAGTAAATGGATTAATTCATTCATGGATCAATGGGTTGTTGAGGAGGTGGGTTAGTTATCATGAGAGCGGGTCTGTCATAAAAAAGCCAGTTTGGCCATTTCTTATGAGCCCCCCCAACATGTGATGCCCTGTGCCACCTTAGGACTCTGCCAAGAGTCCCCACCAGCAAGAATACCCTCATCCAATGCAGCTCCTAGACCTGGGACTTCCCAGCCTATAGACTACAAGAAATCAATTTCTTTTCTTTATAAATTACTCCATCTTACTTATTCTGTTATAGTAACGGAAAACAGACTAGGACACTCGCCAAATAACTTCCCTAAAATACCACTTTCAACGTGCTGTTCACCTGCTGATTTCTGACCATAAAACTCATCCCTGGAATGCTCCCTGCACAGCATCCACGCCTGTAATACCTTCCACAACACTGCCAGCCTACTTTGTGGCCTTTGCCTTTTTCCGAATTCACAGAGCATCAGTTAGAGTCATACCCAGGAACCAATGAGCTCACCACTATGTTGTGTTCTGTTTTCTGGCTTCAAGATCAGGTTCTTGAGGACCAAGGCCATGCTATATACTATCTCATATCCCCATGGCACCCCCAATCTGCATTTCCAGGCCATAATTGAGGATTTAATAAATTCTTTTCTTTTTTTTTGAGATGGGGTCTCACTCTGTCACTCAGGCTGGAAGGCAGTGGTGTGACCGTATCACTGTAGCCTCCAACTCAGGGCCTCAAAGGATCCTCCCGCCTCAGCCTCCTGAGTAGCTGGTACTACAGGCACATGACACCATACCTGGCTAATTTTAAAACTTTCTTGTAGAGATGTAGTCTTACTATGTTGCCCAGGCTGGTCTCGAACTCCTGGTCTTAAGTGATCCTCTTGCCTCAGCTTTCCAAAGCACTGGGATTACAGGCATAAGCCACCACACCTGGTCCAATAAATTGCTATCTGGATCTTATTCTACCACCACAATATTTACACATAAGGCCTGGAAAATAATTAAAAATGTAAACATCAAACCCTTTCTACTTCACTTATTTATTTTTTTGTTTGGAAACAGGGTCTCACGCTGTCGCCTAGACTGGAGTGCAGTGGTGCAATCTCGGCTCACTGCAACCTCTGCCTCCTGGGTTTAAGTGATTCTCATGTCTCAGCCTCCTGAGTAGCCGAGACTACAGGCACATGCCACCACATCCGGCTAATTTTCTGTATTTTTAGTAGAGATGGGGTTTCACCATGTTGGCCAGATTGGTCTCGACCTCCTGACCTGACTCAAGTGATCTGCCTGCCTCAGCCTCCCAAAGTACTGGGATTATAGGCGGGAGCCACAGCACCTGGCCTTCTACCTCACCTATTTTTGCTTGGAGTTGGTTATTAGGGTTGAAATGTTTAATTACTTTACCCCATGATTTTCACCTTTAGAGTACAATTATTGTGTGAGAGTAAAAAAAAAATATGCAAAAATGGTATATAAAGTATTTTGTCCTAGAGGATAAAGCAAAAGAAATGCAATTAAGTAACATTAAGAAGAATTAATATTTGTGAGACTCATTTAAAGGTCACAAAACCATTAGATTTAAAAACACTCTAAAAACATTTAAAAAATTAAGACAGGTAATTTTCCATTTGGAAGACTTTCGGCACAATTATTCCTATAAAGATACTGACCTAGCAAATTTTATGGGTTCTCGTCCATCCTAAAATAAAACTGCAGGTACATAATCATTATATTCTTAAAATGTAGGACTTCCAGTGTCATATGGACGCATATAATGAGCATCTCAAAAAACATATCATATAGTCATCAATAGTACTAATGTGAAATACTCCCTTCCCTTATTTACATAAATGCCCAAACAATTCTTTAGGCAACAAAGCAGTGATGAAATGTAATGAAGTGTGTTCATGTGCTTGTGTATGCACAAGTTACCTGGAAGTCACTACAAGCATGCCACCTCTAAATGACCCTATAAGCTACAAAGAAGCAACTATCCTCACAACTATAAGTAATTTAAGATTTTTGCTCTAAACGTGACTTGAAAGGTAAAATGATTTCTTATGTATTATAAAAGCCAAATGAAAATTTTCTATTGCTTTCCTTAAACTCAAATTTCTAATGTGCTGGAACTACATCTCTAATAGGGGTGAATGTCTTCTAGGTTCTTCCTCTTCCCGATGTGCCACTGCTCCTCCTGACTGCAGGTACTGTACCATCCATGATCTCTAGCCATTAGACCTCCAACACCTTCAAACATGAAGAACACAAGTGGCAACCAGAGATTGAGCAGCAAGAACCAGAACTGCTTCAAAGCCTGCTGCACCTCCTAGGAGAAAACTCTGCGTTATTCAAACATACCTACTTAACTAGTGTTAGAGCTTCCTCTACGTTACAGATATCGGTGGTTAATCATGTTTTAGTTTTTCTTATATTTTGGCAGATAGCAAAATAAAATAAATGAAGCTGACACCTTGTTGAGCAAAAGCTAACTGATAAGGAGTACAGAACCAGATTGTCAACACTTGCTTGAGATCACATGGAGCTGAGTTCCAAAAGTGAATGAGTTATACACTCGAAGCTTGAACGTGAATGAGTTCTATGTATTTTTACAGAACATTAAACCACCAAGAAAAGAGTTTCTGATGCTTTCTAAGATTGCCACTAAAAATACATCTGACAAGACTTCCCTGAGAACAAAAACTTCAAATTAAAAAAAAAAATCTGGCAAAATAAAAACATCTTTGTACTTTAAAAGGCCAAACTTTAGTTATCTGCAAAATGGATTTACGTGACACGTCTTGTTCTCAGCTAAATAAAGTGTCAGGTGGAGCTCCACATCCTTTGAAAGGTACACACAAATGCCAGCGCACAGGGCCATCTGCAGTCTGTGCGAGCCAGAGCCCACTATCCAGTATTCCCATGCAAGCAAGGACAGGAATCAAGCTGCGAGGAGAGCTAAAGAAGGGTTTTACTGGCATGCTACTGACTTTTAAATTCTGTAGCTATTTTATCAGAGTATCACCTTCCTAGAAAATTTAGATCAGAAAATTATTTCACCACTGAACAGACTGGGTAATTTCTGTCTTGGGTTATGCCACTTAAGGTCACTGCTTGAGTGGAAAATGAAAGACAGCGAGCAAGTGAGCACTCTTACAGGTCTCTCTATTAGGTCGATGCATGGCTGCAGATCCAGCCCGAAATCGATGAAGTTCCACTCGATGCCTTCGCGCTGGTATTCCTCTTGTTCTAGGATAAACATGGTGTGGTTGAACAGCTGCTGCAGCTTCTCATTGGTGTAGTTGATGCAAAGTTGTTCAAAGGAGTTCAGCTACAAATGTCAAAGGGTAATTTTCCAAACATGGGGAGGTGGAGGGAAAATGGGAATAATTAGTTATGTAGTTATAAAAAAATTTTTCATTAAACATTACTAATTAGGTAGGAAGTACATGATTGCTTCTATCTAATGACAGTGACTAAACCAAGGGGGGTGGTCTCCCAATCCCTCTCTCACACACAGCCTTTTTGAAAAGGTAAAGAGAAAGAACATACTGTCTATGGCTGCATTACTGAACTGCTAAAATGAAAAGATAATAAACTTAATATGCTAACTGAATGCTCTGCAAGTAAAACAATTCAGTTCTTATTAGTGAATGGTTAAGGACTATAAATAAATAAATGAGACAGTAAGAAAAAGAAGAAAAACAAAGGCTTGGAAAAACCAGAGGCAAAGGAAGGCGAACAAGGTGGTGGGCGCGCTTCTGAAGCTGGGGTGGAGAATGCATTTGGTTCTGTCCCACTCCACTGTCACTCAGGCTGTGGGCTCTAAGGTGAGGTAGGAAAAGAGTCATCTTTACTGCATGGAATTGCTGAGAGCTCAGCCAGGCCTGGCACATGGAATGCGCTTAGTATGAGACTCTCTATCGTTTCTCTAAGCATTCCCTTCCCTTATCAAATGTTTGACCTTTGCAATACCAAAAGTGATATTGGACTGCCCTCATAAAGTGAATTTAGGCATTTTTCATATGTTATTGTCATTTCTGTTCCTTCTCTGTGAACTCTGCCCATTTTTTAAGAGAAAAATTGATTGGGCGAATGCATAGATGGGTGAATTAATAGGTATAATTTTCTTAATCATCCTATACACTAGAAGTGCTCAACCTCTTTCCTGCTTCTATACTGTTCACACAGCTGCATGTGCCCATAAATAACCTCTTTCATTATAAAAAGTGATTTTCAATTAAAGAGGATTTAACCCATCTCCAAGGAGTTGATTTACAGTCTGAAAAAGCCACTCCAATCTTTTCCATTCTCCAGAAGCTGTTAAATTCACTATTTCAGAATGAGGTCATGCAAGGAGGGCAGGGGCAGTGCTTGCCTTGCTCAACACTGTATTTCTGGCACGCATGACAAGCCTCATATTTACAGACTGCCGGATTCTGCTTATTCATGTTCATGTAGGTGAACTTTGCTTTGCCTCAGGATGATGACATCCTATTGCTCTATTTAGCCTGGGCCATTACAAAGAAGGTTTTTTTTTTTTTTTTAGGAGTCTCGTTCTCTTGCCCAGGCTGGAGTACAGTGGCACAATCTTGGCTCACTGCAACCTCCGCCTCCCGGGTTCAAGCAATTCTCTGCCTCAGCCTTCGGAGTAGCTGAGATTACAGGCATCTGCCACCAAGCCCAGCTAATTTTTGTATTTTTAGTAGAGACAGGGTTTCACCATCTTGGACAGGCTGGTCTTGAACTCCTGACCTCGTGATCCACCTGCCTCGGCCTCCCAAAGTGCTGGGATTACAGGCGTGAGCCACCACGCCCGGCCAAGAATGGTATTTTTAAAAATGAATTTCTACTTGTCTTCCATATTTAAACTACCAATTATAATTTTAATTGATTTTTAAATCAATAATGCATGGTAGAAAATTCAAAGTGTACAAAGAATTGCACCAGTTTCACTTCAATGAAACTTACTTGTTCTCCCTATTATCAACCAGTATCTCCTATTTTTGTGATCTTTCCAGAAATATGCTATGCATTAAGAAATGTGTGTATGTGTGTGACCCTGATTTTTTTTAACTTAACAATGTATCTTGTTATGTTGTGGGATCTTTCCTTAGTGTATAAAGCCAGCCCATTCTTTATAATGGATGCATAGTATTCCACTGTATGGAGCTATCACAATAATTTGAACCAGTTTCCTAAAGGTGGGCATTTAGGCTTTTTCTTTCCTTTTCTCATGACAAATAACACTCACTGAACAACTTAGCATTTTTACCATCTACATAAATGTCACATTTTCCCATCGAGAACAGGGTGTGTCTCCTCACTTGTTCAAGTCTTCTTTTCTTTTTTGCAGCAGCACTGTAAAGTTGCCTTCATTTAAATCTTGCCCATTTCTTTTAAAATTTATTTTTAGGTGTTTTGTCTGTTTGTTGCAGTTGGAAATGTGGGTCTTTTCTTTCACTATATCTTCTGATCGTTTATGTAGAGGAAAGTGACAGATTTTTTTAATGCAATTTGTACCCAGCCACTTTTCATGATTTCTTAATATATTTACAAATCAAAACACCTTAAAGCAATCTCTTAGAGTGGCAGTGGCAGGTTCAGTATTTATGAGGATAGACTTATAATTTTAAAGGGGTTCATTTTAAAATAAGACAATTCAATACCCAATAGTGGCTACAGTAACACACAGATGATCACAAAAAGCACTTAATATTTGTGCCGTACTATATTTACATAGTTTACATCTATATTTATGGAAATAAAGATATAAATTTTTAGATGCCCCAAATTTTATGCACCTCCCTGAAACACCGTAGCAGGTGTGTGACTGTGAAACTTTTCTGCATTGATGATGAGTAAGTATTTGGATAAATCTAGTCAGATCAACAGTGAAATCTATTGTTAAACCCTGGTTATATCTGCAGTACACAGATCACTGCCCGTCCAGGTGCCTCCCTCTCACTTTGCTCCTCTCCTGATTCCCCAGCCAAGCCCCCGTCATCTTGCCCGTGTTCTACTACAGTGGCCCCCTTGATGGTCTCTCGACCTGGCCCCATGCTCTTCTCCACGTCTCCAACTCCTCTCTCCCTCTGGTCAGCTATATCCAGTCATACTGGCTTTCTAGCAGCTTAGAACATTTGTTAAGTTCTGTCCCATACAGGACCACTGGAATTACTCTCATTATGCCGGGAAACTGACCGAGGCTGGCAGCTTCTCATCCTTCAAGTAAGCCTAACTGTTGCCAATGCAGAAGCAACCTTCCCTGAACAGCTATCTCAAGCTGGCCTCCCAGTTCTATCACAGCACCCTTTCAGTGCATTCTCACAGACCTGCGGATTCACTGATTATTTGCCATTTATTGTTTGGCTCTACTAGAATGGCAGGGACTGTATCCCTGGTGCCTCGTATGTACTGGGCACACAGTAAGCCTTCATATTTGTTAAAAGAACAAACAAAAAGAAGGACGAGCTAGAGGAAGAGGGGGAAGAATACCTCAAAAATTTCAAATCCAGCAATATCCAGGATTCCAATGAAAGATGCTCCCTGACGTTTGGTCCTATCCAGAGCTTTATTGATGCGATGAACGAGCCAGCGAAAGAGCCGCTCATAGGTAGCTTTTGCCAATGCTTCTACTGCAAAATCTGCCTGTAATTAAATCACAACAACCTTTTATTCTGGAAACAATCTCAACAAAGCATAAATAGCTGTTTTACGGAATTTAATGTTATACAGCACTCAAAAAACCTGAGATGGCATTCACTGCTTAATCATGTCTCAATTTTACACATCAATAGAAGGCAATATTAGAAGAATTAAATGAACACAGGGAATAACGAATTTGGGGGATGGGTAAAGACGCCTAATAAAAATAAGCTCCTCCCCATGCGCCTGGGTCCTGGGTAGCACTGTCCGCCTGGATTCAGCTCAGTTAAGCTGGTACTTTCTCTCTGCTGTACCACCCAGCACAAGGACAAGGCGGCAGGGGCCCTTGTGTTGGTCTGGTTCCCGAAGTATGCAGATTTGTCTACTGGATTATCTATCTACCTGGGGAAAACTAGAGATTATAATTTGACATTTACTTTTTTTAAAAAATCACCTTTAAAAAAATTTTTTTTTTTTTTGATACGGAGTCTCGTTCTGTTGCCTGGGCTGGAGTGCCGTGGTGCAATCTCAGCTCACTACAACCTCCGCCTCCTGGGTTCAAGCAATTCTCCCGTCTCAGCCTCTTGAGTAGCTGGGACTACAGGCGCATGCCATCACGCCCGGCTAATTTTTGTATTTTTAGTAGAGATGGGGTTTCACCATACTGGTCAGGCTGGTCTCAAACTCCTGACCTCAGGTGATCTGCCCACCTCAGCCTCCCAAAGTGCTGGGATTACAGGTGTGAGCCACCGGCCCCGGCCCCTTTTAAATTTTTTCGAAAACGAAAAAGTAAATATACTTAAAAAAAAAAAACTCATTTAGTACCTAAAAACACCCATGTAAGACAGTTTATATTGATTCAGTTTGTTACATGTCAATCAGAAGGCCAAATGGCCATGGCTTATCATTCAAACAAATCAGTAATAACAATGAACATGAAACCTACCTGTTCTTTGGTCTGGGCTTTTTGCACATAGTCTCGGCCGACCTTGATCCGGGGAGTCAGGATGGCCCGAGTAAACTCCATCACATTCATCCCAAGAAGATGGCAGAGCTTCTGCGCAACTGAAGTGTAAAAAGTCTCCTAAATCCTACATTTTTTACTTACAATCTACTCACAATATATTCAATAAACACTGGAAAAACCTTAGTAACAATTAAATTGTATTAAGAAATAAATAAAAGTCTTAAAATCAGACAAGTTTTAGGTCTAATGAAAAATACCTTCCATCTTTTCAAATTAATACACACTCATTTTTAGGCTACAAGAGATGGCTAGTCAGCATTTGACTGCCTTGCCTATTTATTCATTTTTTTAGAGGCAGGTTCTCACTATGTTGGCCAGGATGGAGTGTAGTGGCTATTCACAGGCATGATCTCACTACTGATCAGCACGGGAGTTTTGACCTGCTCCATTTTCAACTTGGGCTGGTTCACTCCTCCCTAGGCAACCTAGTGGTCCCCTACTGCTGGGAGGCTACCATATACTGATGCTGAACATAGTGTAGACAACCGACGGGCATAGCACGACAGCCTAGAACTCCTGGGCTCAAGCCATCCTCCTGCTTCAGCCTCCCGAGTAGCTGGGACTACATGGCCACTATGCCCAGCCTCCTTACCTTTACAAGAGTGACCTGATCCTCCTCTATTTATGGGTCATTAAAAAATTTCAAAGCCAAGCTATACTAATATATGCCTTACTCTGCATTTTAGATGGCTCCATTTTAAGTCTATTTAACCATGGAAAAGCCATACGGAGGATGGAGGCCCAACCGCCAATCAAACTACTTTGACTGAATGACAGATGAATGGTCCTGGAAATCAACAGCCCTAATAGGAGGTGCCACAGCTTGGCCAGAAAATGGTGACCAAGAAGCAGCAGGAGAGGCAGGCCCCTTAGAAGAGCCACACAGAATTAAATTGTTATCAAGCCTCAAATTGGTTATAAAAAACGATTATTTCAAGGGCAGATAATGTGACTTTATGTCAGCCTTCACCCGCCACAGTGGACTGCGGATGCCTCCATGAGGCAAGATAACTAACTTGTTAGAATAATCAAGCAGTCAAGGCAATATAGAGATTCCTCACTTTTTCTCTCCAGACCATCTGAAGCAAACTGATATATATATAATATATATGTATATTATATATACATATATTTAATAAATATATACTTTATATCCATATTATATTTATATATTTATATTAAATATATATTTAATAATATATTATATATATATATTTGGGTCACAAACTTTTGTTCCTGACCAATGCAAATTTAAAACCATTTTCGACATTTAAAAATGGGAATATTTCCTATTAAGATCTAGATTTCCATTTTTCTTTGAAAAGTCACTTATATTTGGCAATACTGGGCCTGTAATCCTGGCAAGGTGCACACTGGCTGGAACTCGGCAGCTGCACCACCCTCTCAGGTAAGTGTGTGACCTCCTGCGGCTGAGTTCTCCTCCCTCAATTCCCAAGGCCTCCTGCATGCTAAGGCAGAGACCACTGCTCCTTTTCATCCTACACCCTGTCCCCTGTCCTCATTTATAGAATCAGAGGAACCCTCGTGTAAATACACGATGTTGTCACTCTACTCAAGGGTCCCTTCAGAAATGCTTCAGAGGTGCTTTTACGCTTGCACTGTAACACCTTCTTAGAGAGCACAACAAGCCATCGAAACAGAAATAAAGTCAGTATTCATCAGTTTACCTGTATTTTCTGGCATGGAAGCTTGATCAGTATTTCTCTCCTTTTTGAAAGAAATATTTCCAAACTGTAGCACTGAAGATACTACTTTAAGCATTGCTTCATATTGATAAAAAGAAAAAAAAAATTAATATTGCCTCAAAATGTAGCGGAGACATATTCTCATTTATTTTGTGCTAAAAATTAGCTATACAAAACTTTTCAGTAAGACATGTCTTTTCAGGATTTCATACAATTCATTAGTTTCCCAGTCATTTTCTAGTTTAGGTGATTTACCCCAGATGTATAAGTCTTAGGAAAGTGAGTACCAGAATCTTAGAGAAATCACACATACACAGAATCTCTTCATGGGAGAAGCCCATTATGTGCATTGCTTCCATGGTCTCCTGGAAATTATCTTTGTCTTGCTGTCCCGGAATAGGAATATAGCCATTGGAGAGAAACCTGTAGTTATTAAATCCTTCAAGAAGCAAATCAGCTAAAAGGAAATATAATGGAAGAAAATTTGATAAATACTCATGAAGACAACTAAGCCATAACTGCATTCAAACTGTGCCAGTGTCACAGGAGAGCAGTGGTCACCATGCAACCCATTGCCAGCAAAATGTTTTTTTTCTTTATATATTCATGTAAATACACAAACATACATTTTTTTAATTATCTGTACCAACAAAGGAAAATGATGATGTTAACAACGCAAAAACCTTAACAGGAGTTTTGGGGATGGCAGTTTGTACAATATTCTGTTTGAAATTGGTTATCTGCGAAATGATGTCAATTGTCCAGATGACAAAACTCTATTGTTTTCAGATTTAAATATTTTAGCCCTCTTTTTTGAAGGAAAGCTTTTAAACTCATATTCTATATTCCTATCTTAGCAAGTAGTTTGCAGCAAACACTATGAAGTGAATATGAAAACTACCATGGACATAAGCTAAAGATACAGTGATGTGGACCAAGCACGTCCCGAGCCCAGCAAAGGCCCTGAAACACTTTCTCCAAGCCAGCTTGCTTGGTGGTTAAGTTGCCTTTAGAATGATGATGTGATGTGGCGCAGCAGACTATTGTAACAGGTACCCGCACTGACTACTGTACCGTAGGAGACATGAATTAAAGAGAACTTACTCTTTTGACAAATGCATTCTTGAGAGCCAAAGAATATTTCTCAGGAGTGCTCAAAATAGCAGGGCTATTTATCGTTATAACAGATATGCAAATATGCTCCCAGCTTTCTTTGTGACTGGCTCTCTTGCTCTCCTGCAGAGAATTTCTGCAGGTCACCCTGTCCCGTTATTCTTGTCTACATCACATTTAACTTCTACAGGGTACTGCCTGCTGCTTTCTTTTTCTATTTCTTTCAACACTTTGATCATTTTAAAGAATTTACTCGCTCTCCCTCTCCCTCTCCCTCTCTTTCCACGGTCTCCCTCTCATGCTGAGCCGAGGCTGGACTGTGCTGCTGCCATCTCGGCTCGCTGCAGCCTCCCTGCCTGATTCTCCTGACTCAGCCTGCCCAGTGCCTGCGATTGAAAGCTCGCGCCGCCACGCCTGACTGGTTTTGGTGGAGACGGGGTTTCGCTGTGTTGGCCAGGCCGGTCTCCAGCCCCTAACCGCAAGTGATCCGCCAGCCTCGGCCTCCCGAGGTGCCGGGATTGCAGACGGAGTCTCGTTCACTCAGTGCTCAATGGTGCCCAGGCTGGAGTGCAGTGGCGTGATCTCGGCTCGCTACAACCTCCACCTCCCAGCCGCCTGCCTTGGCCTCCCAAAGTGCCGAGATTGCAGCCTCTGCCCGGCCGCCACCCCGTCTGGGAAGTGAGGAGCGTCTCTGCCTGGCCGCCCATCATCTGGGATGTGAGGAGCCCCTCTGCCTGGCTGCCCAGTCTGGAAAGTGAGGAGCGTCTCCACCCGGCTGCCATCCCACCTAGGAAGTGAGGAACACCTCTTCCCGGCCGCCATCACATCTAGGAAGTGAGGAGCGTCTCTGCCCGGCCGCCCATCTTCTGAGATGTGGGGAGCGCCTCTGCCCCGCCGCCCCGTCTGGGATGTGAGGAGCACCTCTGCCCGGCCCCGACCCCGTCTGGGAGGTGAGGAGCATCTCTGCCCGGCCGCCCCGTCTGAGAAGTGAGGAGCCCCTCCGCCCGGCAGCCGCCCCGTCTGAGAAGTGAGGAGCCTCTCCGCCCGGCAGCCACCCCGTCCGGGAGGGAGGTGGGGGGGACAGCCCCCCGCCCGGCCAGCCGCCCTGCCCGGGAGGTGAGGGGCGCCTCTGCCTGGCCGCCCCTACTGGGAAGTGAGGAGCCCCTCTGCCCGGCCACCACCCCGTCTGGGAGGTGTGCCCAGCAGCTCATTGAGAGCGGGCCAGGATGACAGTGGCGGCTTTGTGGAATGGAGAGGCGGGAGGGGTGGGGAAGGGATTGAGAAATCGGATGGTTGCCGTGTCTGTGTAGAAAGAAGTAGACATGGGAGACTTTTCATTTTGTTCTGTACTAAGAAAACTTCTTCTGCCTTGGGATCCTGTTGATCTGAGACCTTACCCCCAACCCTGTGCTCTCTGAAACATGTACTGTGTCCACTCAGGGTTAAATGGATTAAGGGCGGTGCAAGATGTGCTTTGTTAAACAGATGCTTGAAGGCAGCATGCTCCTTAAGAGTCATCACCACTCCCTAATCTCAAGTACCCAGGGACACAAACACTGCGGAAGGCCGCAGGGTCCTCTGCCTAGGAAAACCGGAGACCTTTGTTCACTTGTTTATCTGCTGACCTTCCCTCCACTATTGTCCTATGACCCTGCCAAGTCCCCCTCTGTGAGAAACACCCAAGAATTATCAATAAAAAATAAATAAATAATAAATTTAAAAAAAAAAAAAAAGAATTTACTCCTATTGCAGTTATTGCCAGTCTGAAAGCCTGAGCATTTTCTTCTCTTCAGTGTTACATACTGCATCATCTTGAATTTTTAGTCTCTCCTTGGCAATAACTCTATTTTTTTGTTGCTTGATTTTTCCCTTGCAGGTCATTCTCTGATTAATTTTTGGGTTCAAAGGTTTCACAGATGTCTGTGGTTAGCAAAAGCCTGGATGCCAGATGAGAAAACTTTTACTGTATATGTGTCTACTTTGATATCTAGATAATATATATAATAATCATGCAGAAACACTAAATTTGAGAATCAGAAGAGATGGGAAAGTTATACATCTTCTCCTCTCCCTCAATATATTTCTAACCCAGCAAAATTCTGACCCAGACCTGAGCTCTCCTTTGTACCTGCCCAACTCTAAACTTCTAGTCCTTGTGATCCCTGACATTCAATCAATCAATATCCACCACAGGCTCTTTCTAGTACTAGTGGAAGCAATAACATATATTCAGTTGTAAATCTAGAAATAAAAATATTTATTCTACTTAATTTCATTAGGTAAATTTCTTTTCCCTTACTTTCATATTTTAAAACGTTGAAACAGAGTTGTAAAATACGCATCATTTGTCTTCTAATTTAAAAAATTTTAAAAAAGAAATAAAAGTACAAAAGATTATATTATCTACAATACCTGCCGCTTAAAATAAAGTACTTACCCCATGGCATGGAAGTTCAATTTCATTTTGATTTTCATGATTTAACCAGCTGGAAATTTGGTGTTTTGTGTGTAAAAAACTGTTTCCCAAAATTGTTTTTTCTCAAAAAAAAATTAAAAGAGATATTCCAGTGAATATAAAATAGTAAAAACCTTTGTAACTTACACTTTAGGTGTTCTCCTGCTCCAGATAACAACTGGTAAAAGATATGAAAAGTACGTTCATCTTTTGCTTGACGAACAGCACGAGACTTTTCCAGAAGGTCTGAGCAAAGACAGTTAAGAATTAAATTATTTAATATAATTCTTAAATAAATAAAGGCCCTCTTTCAGCGTCTGTAAATTTAAATCATAAAACATCTTCTTTCTCTGATTATTATATAAACTATCCTGCAATGAACTATTCTAAATGACTGTCTTCCATCTGTGAAAAAAGAAAATAGGTGCAACTTACGTTCCTCACTGATCTTCCAGAATCATTGGTCTGGGAAGGAACTTAAAGATTATACGTGCTTCCCTCACTCAGCTCCACTCTACCCCATCCTTCCCCTAACTTGGATTACATTCAAAGAATACCACACTATACGAGGAACTGTAAGAAGCTATTGAAAATGAAGTACAGTTGTTTAAGGCAGGAGAAGCTCTATAATACCAGATTAACACAATTTTATAAATAAGGAAGCCATGGTATAAGGAAATTAGTCAAAATAATATAGTTAATAAGTGGTACAGTTAGGAACCAAAAACTTGGCTTGACTCCAAAATGCATGATGAGAGTGCCCACAATGCTACCCTATTGAAAGCCTCCTATATGAGAGGCACTCGCCCTTCACACTCAGCAGCACATGTAACTTTCCCATATGCCTTGACAGCTACGATGAGATTAAGCACTAGTCTTCCCTCTGCTGCTCTGAAGAACCGGTGCGGCCAGTACCTACGCCTGCTGCTACCCACCCTGCCTGGGCTTCCCAGGGGGCAGGTGGCACAGTCCCCAGCAGCTCCTGCATTTCAGACCACTGCACACCCAGCTGTGTATCTTATCTGGGGCTCAGATCCACAGTTCTTGATGCTCCCGGAGTTCCTATGGGTTGACAGTCACACCGGCATCTCAGAGAACGTGTATCACAGCTTTGGAAGATGTTTGCCTCTCTTGAGGTAAACCTTCCCTGGGGCCACCAAAGTAAATTAATTCTGTATGTGTCAGATAGCCTGAATTTTAAGTCAGACTATCCCACACATCCTCCACGTCTGGTGAAAGACACACTCATATGAATCATGCTCTGACACACCTATATGAAGAAAGCTGAACTGCAGATTCATTCTCCTGTCATTTTCAAGTATTTCCAGATTTTGCTGGCTGTGAGTCCATTTGGAGGCATAAAATACTGTTCTTAACCAGAAAATCATGGTCTGTCCCTTGAAGGATAGAAATAATGTATTTCTATCACTGGAGATTATTCTATTAAGTACCCGAAAACTGTCATCTATCTTTCTAATTGGCACACTATCATTCAGAATCATTTCTATTTTATTACATCTATACTCAAATGTGTTTTACCTGGGTATATATGTGCATACACATATATAAACCTTCTTATGGCCATTCTATGCAGGTGACATTTCTTAGGACTATTCTATGTACTTGACATTTTATTTTTTTCTCCAGCTTTATTCTACTTAACACTAATTGAGATTACTTTAACTCTGTAATCTTATAAGGATGTTTTCAATGATTACATGCTCATCCTTCTAATATCAGAAGTAGATGGTAAAAAGTGGGCTAACAGCAATAGGGGGAGGGCAACTGCATTCATCTGAATGTCCTATATCACACAAACACTGTGGCACTCTCCACTTCCCCAGCCATGTGAATAAGTTATGGCCTGGTTTTACAAACAACAAAACAACTTGGAGTTAATATTCACTAGTCGAAAGTATTTGAACAAGGCATGCTATCTCTGGGCTCAAGTTTTATCATCTGGATTTTGGGAGTGATATCACAGACGGTTGCCATGGGGTTGTAGGAAGACTAAATCCTTCTTTATTTTGGATTATACATTTATGAAAAAGGATACATGTTTCAATGTTGGCCCCAACGATATAGCCAGTTACATCAAAGTTGATCCGAATAAATTTGCCCTGAAAATAAATTAAAAAGAGAAAATTGAAAATAAGTAAGTACATACTGGATATGAACACTAATAAACTAAGAAGACAACAAGTATCCATGAATTAGTTACAATAATGGATCTTATATATTGCCTCAAACAAAAAGAAAAAAGAAGAAAACAGGCTGTGATACATTTCAAAAAAGTAGCAACAGAATAGGCTATTTTCCTGGACTATAACATAATAAAATTAGAAATTATTAATAAAAGAAAGTAGTGAGATCCCAGTCATTCAGAAGTTTTTAAAAGCTCTTCTAAATAATCTGAAATATGAGAGATTTTAATAGTTTTAAAGGACCACTCTATCCAGCACTATAATGGTAGATTTAAAAATCTGAATAGTATAAATGATTTCCTAGAAAAATAGAAATCCATTCAAGAAAAAAAAAACCCGAAAACTTAACCCATAAAAATAAAAAATAGTGAAACAGAATTATTTCTTTAAAAATGCTGGATTAGTCTTATGAAACAATTTTACAAATTTCTAAGGAATATTTGATTTCTTTACTATACATAACTGTTTTAGGGAAAGAGGAAAATCGTGATTATTTCATCATTCATTTTATAAAGTTGTCATAACACTGAGTACCCAATCTGATAAAGATATTACAAGGAAAGCAAGCTGGGCGTGCTGACTCACACCTGTAATCCCAGCACTTTGGGAGGCCAAGGCAGGTGGACCTCCTGAGGTCAGGAGTTCAAGACCAGCCCGGCCAATACGGTGAAACCCCGTCTCTACTAAAAATACAAAAAAATTTAGCTGGGCATGGTGGCGCATGCCTGTAATCCCAGCTACTCGGGAGGCAGAGGCCAGAGAGTCACTTGAACCCAGGAGGCGGAGGTTGCAGTGAACTGAGATCGCGCCACTGCACTCCAGCCTGGGTGACAGAGCGAGACTCCATCTCAAAGCAAAATAAAAGCAAATATGGTATGGTTATATCTTACTTATAAAAATATATATAAGGAGAATCGCTTGAACCCGGGAGGCGGAGGTTGCAGTGAGCCGAGATCACACCACTGCACTCCAGCCTGGTGACAGAGTGAGACTCTGTCTCAAAAAAGAAAAAAAAAGAAACAAGAAAAAAAAATTAAACATGTTAAACATTTTGCAAAACAAACATAATGATCAAGAATGGTTTATTCTAGGACTGCTAAGAAGGACTGACACTAGTAAACATACCAGTATTATTCATCATATAAACAGTCAAGGGATTGGAGGGCTTCCTTTGAGGAAACTGACAAGCTGTCTCAAGTTTATTGGGAAATCGAAAAGGACTTAGACTAATCACAACAATTCTGAGAAAGAAGACCAGGGCTGGGGGAATCACACTACTTGATTTCAAAAAGCTATAAATTTACTAGGACAGTGTGGTATTGGTGTAAAGACAGAGATACAGATTAGTGAAACAGAAGACAGTCCAGGAATTGATCATGTATGTAAGTTAATTCATTTCAACAAATGTGTCAAGGTAATTTAATAGGGAAAGGAAGGACAGTCTTTTCAATAAATGGTGCTTGAAAAATATGCAAAATGAAACAAAACAAAATTAAAGGAACCTAGACTTTTACCTTACACTACATATAAAACTTAACTCAAAGCAGATCACATACCTAAATACATGGGCTAAAACTATAAAACTTCTCAAAGCAAACAGGAGAAAATCTTCATGACCTTAAATTAGACAAGGATTTCCTAGACAGAATGCAAAAAGCATGAACCATAAAATTAAAAACTGGTAAAATGGATTTCATCAAAATTTAAAACTTTTATTCTTCAAAAGATACCACAAAGAAAATGAAGAGAAGCCACAAACTGGGAGATAATATTTGGGAAACACATGTGATAAAAGGCTTGTTGCCAGAATATACAAAGAACTCTTATATTTCAATAGTAGGACAAACAACCCAATAAGAAAACAGGGTAAGTGATTTGAATAGACACTTCATCACAAAAGATATGTGAATGGCCAACAAGTATATGAAAAGATGTACACTATCATTAGTTATTAGGGAAATCTAAGTAAAAACAGCCACGATGAGACACCACTATATACCCACTAGAGTGGCTACACATTTTAAGAAAGACTAGCAAAGATACAGAATAACTAGAACTATCAGACAACCCTGGTGAGAAGGCAAAACGGTACAGCCAGTTTGCCAGTTTCTCACGGCGTCAAACACAGATTACTCTATGACCCAGCAATTCCATTCCTGGGCGGGGTTTCACCCACGAGAAAGGAATGCATGCATCCACATGGACTTGTACATGAATGTCCCCAGCCACTTTATTCTTAATAGCCCTAAACTGGAAACAACCCAATGTCCACCAACTGGTGAATGGATGAAGAAATCGTGGTATATTCACAAAATGGAACACTACTGAGCGATGACAAGGAATAAACCAGGGACACACCCAACAACGTGGATGGATCTAAAAAGCATTCTGCTGTGTGAAAGAAACTAGACATAAAGCACTACATACTATATGATTCCATGTACTTGACATGCCAGACGTTACTGAAAACTCTAGGGACAGAAACAGGTCAGTGGTTTCAGGGGCAGGGGCAGGAGGAGGGAACTGACAACACAAAGGCAAAAGAAACCTTTCTGGAGTAAGGGAAACATTCTTCCTCTAGAGCATGGTGCTCACTACACTACGTACACATTTATCTAAACGCACTGAACTGTACACTGAAAAAGGTGAATTTTATTGTATGCCAACATTTCAAAAACAATCAAGGGAGAGATCTTAGGAACTCCTAGATAAATGCCAATTTTAAAAATATAACTCAACATCTGTTTTAGACAGATGAGCATGGCCCCTGTGCTAGGATGACATTCGGATCTGTGAAGCATTCTATAACATAATAATAATTCAATTCTGTGTATTTACTATAAACATATTAAGTTAAATATGCTTCCCTATTAAAGTGAAAGCCGTTAGATTTACACTCTTCTGCTTATGGTGCCAGGCAGCTTGCCCATCCTTTTACTTACGACTTTAGGGCCCTTCTCACCCTTCCCAAAGTGTTACTTTTTCCAGTGTATTAATATTTACCTTATATTAAAAAAATGAGTAGTCAGTTTGGGATGCTACCTACTAAAGAAGTTCCTCAGCTATATTTTATTGTATGCAAATTACACCTCAATAGTTGATTTTAAAAAAAGAAAAGAGGAATCACTTTCTAAAATGAATAATCCATTGTATTTTTGCTCAATATTATGAGCATTCATTAAGAACTCACCCCATTTTCCTATTAAAAAAAACCCAAACCAAGCTAGCAAACAAGGTGAAAGGGAATGTGTGTGGGGAGTGTGGGGGAAGAGCCCTGGGAATACACTGACTTCCTGCTTGAGGAGGAACAAACTGTGATCAGCTTGCAGGATTAAGTTCTATCTCAGGTGTGTGTCAAGGAGCTCCTTTAGCACTCCTGGTTCTCTTTCCAAGTGTCCTAACTCTGCCCCACCAAAATGTACCTATTCTATTTCACGTTATCTGACAGCACGGCTTTGCACTAAGAAATACTTGACGAGCTTGATATACTCAGGCACTATGTCGTCATCACAACAGAGGTGCATTCCATGAAGGGCCAGCTCCCAGTGCCACTAAACCACGGAGTGTTCAAGAGGGAGTTGGAGTAAGAAGCAAAGGCATTTTGTGACAAACAGGCTCTTGCTACATCTTACAAAGTCATGAACAAAAAAACCACTGATGCTACATAAGTTATCAAAACAAATGGCAAAAACAATATTACTCTGGACATGAGTCTAACACACGTGACAGTGAAAGTCGACAATGTAATAAAAGATATGAATTTAGGATTTCTTTAGAAGTTAGGATGGTGTTAGTCACCAAACCTGCAATGCCCTCTAGCCTAGATACTGATTTTATGCCATCAAATTTACTGAGGTAATGATTTAAATTCCCCTGGAGACCACAAGGCAAATCCATCATTATGAGGCTGCTTGACTATCAGTGGTGAGCATTTAGTATTTTTCTTCTATAGAGACCTTGTTAATTAAGAGTCGCATAATAAAACTGACAATTTGTTTAGTTAGTTTTGTTTTATGGTGTGGAGAGAAAGTTTTGTTTGGATTTTTGTTTTAATAGGAGAAAAATTTTCCCTTCTTTGAGATAGGCTAAACAAATAAGCACTCTACACAAATAATATAATTATTGGCATGAAGAGATGCTGACCTAATGCTCCCCAAACTTAAGATGAACACTGAGGCTGTGCTTTTTCAACATCTGAAGAACAATGTGGTCTGTGCACTTCCACACATAGCACAGAGGTGCTATGGGAACATAGAGAAAGGAGGAGAGAAGGCTTCACAGAAACAGTGCCAGCCGAGCCTACCAATCTTAGTGTTTACCACATACATTAGCTGCTTCAAGCTAAATGGTATTTCAAAGATAGGTGCTGTGCTTAAGTTCACTTGAAAAAAACAAACAAAAAAAAGCAAAACAAAAACAAAAACACTACAAAGAGTAGGAGTCCTTGGCACACTGCAATCTAATTTCAACTTCTAAGTTGTAACATCTACTATGTTGAAGAGATACAACATTCTGGGTTAATAGCTATTCGAGATAGCAACTGTAGGCACCCTTCTCTCTTCTGCCAGTAGGCTCTTACTTATTATTGCCTTTGCATTGTCAGAATGCAATAGTTGAATATACAAAATTCTGATAGCTCATATTTTGTTGACAAGAGAAAGATCTTTTTTGCTCTGTAATTATAAAACATTTTCATCTTTAGATTTGTAAGCATCAATTAGAATGGTCAACCCAATGACTTCTCTCATTTTATATTATCTATTTCCTTCTAACAATTTTCACATACACACCTGCTTTCTGCATTTGTCCACTTATGAAACTTATCCAGGTACATATTGGTACAGAAACATCATACAAGATTAAAGAATACTGTTATTTTAGCAAAGAGATGAAATAACAGTATTCTTTAATCTTATTGCAAAATACTAAGGAAAATCTTCCTACAGAATGACCACCTGGATGCTAATGTCATGTTTCTTTTTTGCCCTTAGAAATATATATAATTCTTAAGTTTGAGAAAATTCTAGGCTATCACCTGGAGACTCAATCTGAGACTCTCTTTATATAATTGATTTCATCATCATCTTTACAGTCTACCATGCTATCTGTCTCTTTGTATTCATCTTCCGGTTCATCCAATGTTTGTGAAATGTTTTTCTGTCAATTTCCTTCTCACTGACATAATGACTAGAAATTGAAAACTTCTGATTTTTCAACTATGTTCACTAAAAGCTAAAAATAACCTACAAAGATGGTTTCTCTAGTTTTCTTTCATACCTACTTGAAAGACAATGCAATATTTGGGGTGATATAATAAATAAATTAAAAGATGAAGCAATAGTTATTACTGTAGCATCCTTCTAGGCAATCCCATTATTCTTATTATTTTATTCTTTTTTTTAGCATAGTTGAGAATAAATGAGTTAATAATGAATCAATTTCTAAGATGACAAAACAGCAAACTATTTCAAGACACAGAAACAAATAAGATCACTAATACTCCATAATGTATCTTAGATTTACAAAATGCTTCAATGGACCCATATGTAATTACAAGAGAGAATGAACTTCATTCTATTTTAAAAATAAGTATATTTTGTCTTTGTTTTTTGGAAGACCCCTAAGAAAGATTTAAGTTAAAAAGCTATCAATCCTATGAATAGTTAGAACTGTTCAAAAAAGAAACTGAAATTGGGTCCTGATGTTATACTGATGGTTAAAATTCTCCACAAATAATTTTAAACAGCTGTATTATCTATACACTACCTCATTGAGTTAATAAAAATATTGCTATTTTAAGAGACAGTAGTCAAAAGGCAATGTTATTACCACAGAGCTGCTAAGGACACACGGCCAACGTGACTGCCTGGGCAAATGCGTTCTCAAACTTCTCATTTTAATTCTGCGGAAAGGTTCATCAAAATCATATGGTATCACCTAGTTCTTATTTTAAGAAAACATTTCACTAAAAAAAAATTCTTTATATCCAGTAATATAAACTTTTAGCTTTCACCAACATGTATGTTTAACTTCTTTATTAAGTATATATATATCAACATGCGGTTTAAGCTTTCAACTCCGAATACTATTTCCTTTTTTTTTCTTTACCACCTCAAATAAATTAGAAGTTTGAAATTCATCAAACAAAACTAATTCTTTATTTGGGCAATATGATAACATTAATACACAGATAACTTTGAATTCTAGCAACTGTAAAATCTAAACTTAAATGTTATTTACCGTATATTTAGTGAATTTATTTTTCCCTACCTTCACGGGACATTAAAATAGGAAAGGAAGTTAGGTTCAAAGGAGAAATGGGGCTTTGTAGTCATCGCTGCCACCTGAAGCCACCTGCCTCTAGCCATGGTCAACGCCACTGTGTTCTTTTGACATCATTGTTGATGGTAACTCCTTTGGCCCATGCAGCTCCTTCGAGCTGTTTGCCGACAAAGTTCCAAAAACAGTGGAAAACTTTCGTGCACTGAGCACTGGAGGAAAAGGATTTGGTTATAAGGGTTCCTGCTTTCACAGAATTATTCCAGGGTTTATTTTATCTGCCAGAGTGCTGACTTCACACACCATAATAATGCCAGTCCATCTACCAGGAGAAATTTGATGATGAGAACTTCATCCTGAAGCACACAGGTCCTGGCATCTTGTCCATGGCAAATGCTGGCCCGACACAAATGGTTCCCAGTTTTTCACCTGTGTGGCCAAGACTGAGTGGCTGGATGGCAAGCACAAGGTCTTTGGCAAAGTGAGAAGAGGGAGTGAATATCATGGAAGCCATGGAGTGCTCTGGGTCCGGGAATGGTGAGACTGGCAAGAAGATCACCACTGCCAACTGCGGACAACTCTAATCAATCTGCTTGTGTTTGATCTTAACCACCAAATCATTCTTTCTGTAGCTCAGGAGAGCATCCCTCCATCCCACTTGCTCACAATATCCTGTAATCTTTGTGGTCTCACTGCAGTTCTTTGGTTTCCTTATTCCCCTCGACATCAAGCTGGATTGTAGTTAAGTTTAGGATTATAAAATAAAAACTCAGTAACAAAAACAAACAAAGGAGAAATGGGAGAAAATTAAGATTTGGGGCCTCTCCTCTCCGGTCCGTGCCTCCAAGATGACAAAGAAAAGAAGGAACAAAGGTCGTGCTGAAAAGGGCCGCGGCCACGTGCAGGCTATTCGCTGCACTAACTGTGCCCGATGCATGCCCAAGGACAAGGCCATTAAGAAATTCGTCATTCGAAACACAGTGGAGGCCGCAGCAGTCAGGGGCATTCTGAAGCAAGTGTCTTCGATGCCTATGTGCTTCCCAAGCTGTGTGTGAAGCTACATTACCGTGTGAGTTGTGCAATTCACAGCAAAGTAGTCAGGAATCGATCTCGTGAAGCCCGCAAGGACCGAACACCCCCACCCCGATTTAGACCTGCGGGTGCTGCCCCATGTCTCCCACCAAAGCCCATGTAAGGAGCTGAGTTCTTAAAGACTGAAGACAGACTATTCTCTGGAGAAAAATAAAATGGAAATTGTACTTAAAAAAAAAAAAAAAAGATTTGGGGCCTCTGAACAGGTGAGCTGTAGAGAAATGTTCCAAAATAATTCAGACATGTGGTCACTTACTTAGATAAATAAGCAAAGTCACCAACATGCAACACTCTATTCCTCATCAGTTCCCTAGCTTGGTGTCCTTTTCACACCTAGGGTCCATAGTGGCACTAGCCATGATAGTGAGTGCCAGTGAAATATCTTTCGGCTAGATGCAAAGGGCCAAGCAAAGAGCAGTGAAAGAAGAGATGCATGGAGAACAATGATGAAGGAGACAGGGCTGCAGGGGCCTGTGGTGTGGAAGGAGGCAAAAGAGAACGGTATTTCTGAAAATATATTTGGTAACCAATAAATCTCAGTTATAAGCCAAAGCACTAACATGTATTCTATTTTAAAAACACTTTAACAAAACAAAAACCTTATGAAGTTGAAAATTATCAACTTTCTAGCTAAATGACACTCATACTCAGATATTTTACAAGACATAGCCAAGCACTTTGACAACCTGACAAAGTGAAATTTCAGAAGCAAAAATGAAAAACTTTACTGAATATCCCCAAGTGATCTAGGACTTAGATTATTCCCCTTCATGTTGGATACGCTGGCAAATCAGGTAAGATGCAGGCCATGGGACCTGACGTCACTTGAGTGTTGGCCACTTGGCCAGATAAGCAAAGGTGACTTTTCTTTCTTCCTTGGCGGCAGGCCGAGGGGAGAGAATATCTGTTAAAAGTTAAAAAAGCTTTCTCCTCACATCTATAATAAATACTTTCAGAATTAACATTTTTATTGAAACACACATCTAGACTAAATTGGAAAATACGAGTTTTACTTTTAAGTGGGAACGCTATCTTTAAACATTATGTGAAGAAATCTGTGCCGAAAATGCCCACTCCATAATTGATTTGCATAAAGGTCAGATTATGGTACTTAGAATATTCAATCGGAACTTCACCAGTAAAAACAAAAGCATGGAAAACCCCCAAAACGTGACAAGTACCTTGTGTATTAATTACAGCTACACATTTTGATAACGCTTATTGTATACCAATCCAGAAACAAGTGAAATTACACGTGTACTGTGAGAGCTCTCAACAGCAAAGACAACTAGAATTCTCTCATATATAATCAAATATAACTTGTTAAGGATTTCACTCAAAATGTGCAATAGGGAAACCCGGATATTTGATATTTTCATACCCTGAAGAAAATAAAATGAAAATTATCTTAATTAGTTTCAAAAATTTTGTTTGTTCTGAATTGACATCGATTTCTAGAATCTTTTCTGGGGTGATTATAATGTATCTATAGTAACTAAAACTAGATTAGTTATTAGTTAGCAACTTAATTTAGGGGCAATGCAGGTTTGTTTCATATTCTGAACATATTTTCCCCCTTCTTAATTTGGCATCTAAAGTTATTACATGATCTGCAGTATGCATTAAAACACATCAGCACAGATAGGGTGCTATGCATGTGTGTTAGCTATTTGCCCTAAATGAGAAAATCCATTCTAGGAGTAATGAGCTAGCACTTAATCCAAAGGCCAGATGGCCACCTTAAATGCTTTAGCTATCTTAATCTCCAAACCAAACCAGAAGCTTTGTTGTTAGTAAAATGAGTTTTCACATGCACTAAGTGGCCTCATTACTTAGTATAATGGATATTAGAAATCACTAGGGTAACATGAGTGGCATTAAGCCATGGACTGATTAGAAAGAGATATATATTAACTTCAAATAGAGCCTTAAAAAAAGATAAATACATAAATAAAAACAAAGAAAGATATATATAGACCCTCCCCAATCCGGGGTCAAGGGAACAAGTGTTGAGACTCCAGCAAGTCCAGGAGGCTGTATTGTTGGGGGTGCTCCTAGAGCTTGATACTAAATGGCTGTGTGCAGCCAGTGATCTGGAAGATGCTGGTTGCCTGGTGCAGACCATATTCTGTCACTGATACTGTCACATTTGCCTCAGTAAATCTTTCAGGTAAACGTTTGGTTAGAGAAATTAAACAGAGCTGGGCTGCATGCAACTTACAAAACTGTTTTCAGCAACTGCCTTTTGATAAATAGATATGAGGGTGCAGAATCCGGACGTGCTTTCATTATAACCTGGTCGCCAAACTGTAAGGAGGATGCCTAGAGCCCTTACCTAGCTTTAACTGCTGGAGGATACTTATCTACCAAGAGGTACATAATAGTTGGAAATTGCCAGCCTGGCTTAAGTCAACTTGGAAAAAAAAAAAAAAAAGAGAGAGAGAAAGAAAATAAAAGGAAAGAAAAGAAGGATTTGTGGAAATAGAGAAAGTGATTCTAACTAAAACTCTGTGAGGGAAGATGTACCTGCTGATCCAAACAATCATTTTGAAATTGAAGTCCCTGTTTTTAAAGTTTCATTATGAGAGATTCTTTTTACATAAATCTCCTCCATCTGGAACGCATTTTACTTCTCCATAAACAGAGAACTGGACTAACTGTGAACGATTATTTTCTTAAGGGTAATGCTCTCCTAAATAAAGAATCCCTTTAATATAAACCATATGCTAGTATCTTTGAAAGAAAAGATATTCTTCAGGAAATTAGTCGTCTATATCAGATCAAAGAAATGGAACCAAATGGATTCTAAAGCTTATGGAGTTTATAGCCTCAAATATTTTCACTGTAAGCATGTAGCTTATAAATATGACTGCATGAAATTTCACTGTATACACAACTCATTTTTTAACATCGTACTACTCTTGGTATGACATTGATCTCAACCCAAGGCCTGGCCTGCCCACGGAGCAACTGCCTCCCTCATGTTCTCTACCCTTGCTTCTAAAATGGGGGCATGCATATTCTCAGAGGATCTAGCATATGCACTACCTTCCCCGAGCTCAACAACATCATGACATGCCGTTGAAAACATATTAAAGTTAACACCAATATGAAGGTGTGCTCTACAGGGCTAGGGAACCTTAGTTTTGACCACTGGTATATTCCCAGGGCCTGGAAGAGTGTATGGCACTTTGTAGTGTCTGCCACATTTTCAGTAAATGAATTCCATAAAATCCATAAATATACCTGTGGGGCACTATGCTAGGAACCAAAGATACAAAGTCCCTACTGACAAAGATCTTAGACATTCTACTAGGAAAGATAATAAATACACAAAGTAATTAGTTACAGCTTGTGATAGGTGCCATGAGGGAAATAAACAGGATACTGTGATAGAGAATAATAGAAGAAATATCCTCAGATATGGTTTTAGACTAACTAGCTAGTTAGGAGAAGAAATGTGGACAGATCTGAAACACCTTCTAGATGTTTAACCAACAGGATTCACTGTTGGCCTGGACGTGGGCCATGAGAAAAAGGCTGATTCCTAGGTATTTTGTCTTTCTAGGTTTTGCTATTGCTTTTATTTTAAGTTTAACCAACTGGGTGATTTCATAATACCATCTATTGATGTAAGACATAAAGGAACAAATTTTGAAAGGAAAGGAAAAACTTTCATTTGGAATATGTTAAACTTCAAGAATCTATTGACATCCATTTGGAGATATCAATTAAGCTGCACAGTGGCTGGCAAATAATAGGTGCTTAATAATTAAAAGAACTAAATAACAAATCAAACATCAAAATTACACAGAATTGAATTTAAAAATGAGTCTACAACAGTTTCTTTCAAACCCCAAGAACCAACACCAATAGATAAATATTAAAGGGGAATTTTAACTGAACATTATTTAATCAATGGACCTAATTATTTTTAATGGAGCTACTGAGATCAACTACTTGTTTTAGTACTGTGTAGGTAACACCTTATGATAACAGTAGATAGCAATAAACTATTACTAAAAAAAATACGTATCAATAAAAGTTGACTTTCTAAGAATTAAAGCCCAAAGTAAACAATTTAAAGATATCTCTGTTTCTTGGTCGAATTGAAAGCTACGTCTAAGAACAATGCCCTAATAAAAAATCTTTTTTCTACTAAAAACAAATCAGCTTTTACTATATTAGAATGCACTTATTATATAGTAGTGCAGGCACTTTGGAAGGTGGCACTTCAGCTGAAATAGCATTTGTTGAACATTTGGATTCAATGGCTAATTCCTGCTTCTTTCCTGTGTGCTGCTTCCAGGTGGCTAGAAAACAATCTAATTCTTCCTACCAGCAGAATGTAAAATAGGTTTCTATCAGACTTGATTGTCAACCTTTGGAATAGGATGTATACATAACAAGCATTAAATAGACTCATGTATTACTTTGCAAATAAATTTCAGAAAATAATTACCTTAATTTAGACTATAATTTGAAGGAACGATCTAGAGCAGGGTTTCTCGATCTTAGCATAACTGGTATTTTGGGCTCAATAATTCTAAGCGGTGGGGACTGTGCCATGCATTGGATGGTATTTAGCAGCATCCTTGGCCTCTACCAACTAGATGCCAGTGGCACACCACTACCCAATCTCCCAGTTAAACAAAGAAAGATGTCTCCAGACACCGCCAACGTCCCTTGGGGAACCTCCAATTAAGAACCACTGACCTAGAGTCACTCCAGTTACAGGTTAAAACCCTACATACATCAATGATGGAAATCACTGTAAGGATTCATAGTAGCCATGATAGCCAAGACCACCTCAATGATCCCCACCTCTGGTATTCACAGTTCCCTCCCACACAGTATCAGGGTTGGTTTGTATAACCAATAGAAGACAATAGAAGAAGGCATGTGATTTCCAAGGCAGAGTGTGTAACTTCTGTCTTTCTCTTGGATCACTTGCTCTGGGAGAAGCTGGCTGCCATGTCATGGCAACATTCAAGGAGCCCTATGGAGAGGCTGCCTCCAAAGCCAGGAACTGAGGCCTCCAGCCAAGAGCCATGTAGGATAGGGACCTCCCACCAAGAGCTACCTGAGGAAGATTTGAAGGAGATCCTCCCACCTCAGTCAGGCCTTCAGATGACTACAGCTGTAGCCAACATCTCAGTGACGACCTCCTAAGAGACCCTGGGCCAGAGTCACCCAGCTAAGCTGCTACTGACTTTCTGACACACAGAAACCATGAGATAATCGATGCCTGAAGCCACCAGGTTTTAGGATCATTTGTTACGTAGCAACTGATAACTAATATAGAATTATATCTGTCCAAACACTAAAATAATGAGTTGAAACACACCCTGGCAGGGGGATAAATCCTTACACTTCGTAACAGAACCACTACATTCTTTACCCAAGGACACAAATGACGGCTTAGTAGCAATTTATCTTTTCCAGGAAAAAGCGGGGCCACTGAGCACCAAAACTGTCTCTCTTGAATTTAGGGTATGGTTTGAGGGCTGGGGGTGGGGGAAACAGAATAGATTAGTAACTTGATTTCTGTGGTAAGATAAACAATTTTCCACAAAGAAGTCCTTGAAGATCTTGATGGAGATTCACATACCAAAGCTGGCAGCTCACTGTTCCTTCTTTCCTGTGATATAGCCACTAAACACAGGGCATTTCAGTAGGAAAATTTCAGATTTAGTTGTGGCTCAGGCTCAATGGGGATGATCCAGGAGAGTGACGGAAAGTCTGAAGGAATGCAGTTTCCTCAGATCGTTTCTAAACCCACGAGTCAAGTCACAGGCATGCCTCCTACTGACACAGGCACATTTGTTAACCCACTTTGCACATAAAAAGCTAAATTAATTACTAAATGAACTTGGATTAAGTGAATCTTCAAATTTTATCTTCCTGGGAATAAACAATATTCCAAGAAAATACATCCCTATTTCTTACATAACTTGGAAAGCGTCTTGCACTGAAACTATCTCTGAAGGTGCTATGGGCTGAAATGCGTCCCTGCACAAATTCCTGTGTTGAAGTCCTAACCCCCAGGACCTCATGATGGAACTGTAATTAGGAAGAGGGTCTTTAAAGAAGTCATTACATTAAAAAAGGGTCATTAGGGTGCACCCTACTTCAATATAATTGGTGTCCTCATAAGAAGAGATTAGGACACAGACACACACAGAGGGAAGGCCACGTGAAGACATAGGGAGAATACAACCATCTATAAGCCAAAGAAAGAGTGCACAGTGAATCAGCAAGAGAACTAACATAACCAACTCCATTTTTGTTTAAGGGGCCTTTACCCATTCCTGCACATGGACAAGGATAATTTTAGAGCACTGAGATAATATGCAAAAACAGCAATCAGGTAGTTTTTAAAACTAACTCTGAGATTAAAGGAGAAGTGTGTGAACAACTATGTTTCGTTAAAGATTGATGAGAGCACTGTGACTTGACTAAGGACAAGGATATTCCCAACCTCCTTGGACCCTTGCCGGCGCCCAGATGTCTGTGGTCGTCAGTTACCTCTTCATCCCAACCCTCTCCCCTTCCCCCTGCCTTAACATAAAAACAGCCTAAAATGTGTTCTGACTTCAGAGGGTCCTCTGGGACGCTAGTCCACCATCATCTTCGTTTGCTGGCTCTCCAGATAAACCTGCTTTTCCTCCCACCAACTCTCGTCTCTCGTGGGTGGCTTTCAAGTGGCACGCAGCCGAACTTGGGTTCAGTTATGAGAGGCCTCAGAAGAAACCAATCCTGCCAACACCTTGCTTCAGACATCTAGCCTCCAGAATTGTGGAAAAGTACATTTCTATTGTTTATGCTGCTCCCAGTCTGTGGTACTTTTATATCGCAGCCCTAGTGAACTAATCCAGAGGGCTTTATGGTTGCCCTTGTGTTTGCTGGGTCCTCTGTGATCCTGAATCTGGTCGCTTCCACTAATCATAGCAACCACACCATCGGTAAATTAATGTGCAGACCATGATGTTATCTCAATTTTAAAAAGCGTGTCACGACGACACTAGATCCCCCAAATTATCCATCAATGAACTGCTAGAACTGAGGTCTCTTACTCTGGCGTTCTTGACTTTTACCAATACTTCAGAGCAGGGAGAAAAAAAAGGGAAGAATTAATTTGAACAACTTAAGTGGAAATAATTGAACAATGAAGTCCTTCTTCAATCTAACAGTGGAAGGGGTTTCTGAAACTTGATGACCATAATCCAGGGCAAAAGACTTACTGGAGGAATGTCCGTTGTGTTGAATATGGGTTTAGAGATGATTTGCTGTGACAGTGTTGAAGGTGAGCAGCTGGGGTGGAAAGGGGCAGTGTCTCTGACGTAACAGAGACCTGGCCATCACTTAGGATAACATTCTCAGGTGAACAGGTACAGCTAGTCAAACTGAGGAGGAAAGTAAAGCTTTCAAGTTGAATAGCTAAGGAGAATTTTTAGGCTGGGTGTGGTGGCTCATTCCTGTAATCCCAGTACTTTGGGAGGCTGAGGCTTCCAGCGATCCTCTTGCCTCAGCCTCCCAAAGTACTGGACAACATAGTGAGACCCTAGTCTCTAAAAAAAAAAAAGTTACTCTTTTAAATTAGCCTGGTGAAGTAACGTGAGCCTGTAGTCCCGGCTCCTTGGGAGACTGAGGAAGGAGGATGCCTTGAGACCAGGAGTTGGTGGCTGCAGTGAGCTATGACTGTGCCACTGCACTCCAGGCTGGGTGACAGAGCAAGACCCTGTCTCAAAAAAAAAAAAAAATTAAAGAGAAGTCATAGTAGTGACAAATTATTCCAAAGTCCAAATCCCACAGAAAATAGCAAGGTAGGAAAAGGTCAGTTTACCACATCTAATGCGTTGAATGTTTACTATGCATAGTGCCGGGCTAAGTGCTCAGCGTGCACACCATTTATTCTCTACTCCGATTCCACTGACAGGTGTTATTATCATGCCCAATCAAAGATAAATAAGCTCAGAGAGGTTAAATTACATATCCATAAAATAAGACAGAGTTATACATTTCTGTATGATAAAATGATGAAAGTTACTTACACATTACCTTTTTTCTTTTCAAATGTGACTACTAGAAAATTTAAAATTACATGTGAGCTTGTATTATGTCTACAGAACTACATCTATTAGCTTCTTAAAATCTAGGAAGAAAAGTAATTCATTTGCTTAATCACAGTAAACATTTAACTAGAAATCTAAGGAATTAAAAGCTTCTGGTGCTTTGAAACTTACAAAACGAGATGAGTTATCATTTTTCACAGTCTTCGCATTTCCAAATGATTCCAGAATTGGATTTGCTTGCAAAAGCTGCCGTTCAAGTTCCCCCTAAAAGACATTACACACACACAAATAAAAGCAGATGTACGTTAATCTAATGTCTTTACTCAAGTCATCAGGGGAAAAATTTCTAAAAAAGAAACTGCATCTTTTCCTCAGTTCTTTCATTCTGTCTGCCATCCAGCAACTTTTGTTGGCTTCTTAATCCTGGTTATGATAATGGACTCCACTAAAGGAAAAAATTAGCATCTATAAAGTGGTCACAAGGAGAAAAAAATGTCACGCTGAACAGAGAAGATCAACTTAAGCATGGGGCACGTAAATCAGGCAGAGAATTTTGAAAATAAAACAGACTGGCTTTCATGAAATGAAATTTAGCACGACACTTCAATTAAGAACATATTAATACTTGTTTATTTTAACTCTGCCTTATTTGAAAACTTTAAGGCAGTTAATTTAACAGTTACCACTGTATTGATGTAGCACTTTCCAGTTTTCCAAGGAGTTTCATATACTATCTCTATCATATAGACAGGGCAATGTCTTCACCTCCACTTTCAGAGGATGGTAAAGACGTTGATGCTGCTAACTTGCTCAGATTTAAAAGGCTAAGTAGAGAGGATTCGGTAAAATGTCTGCTTTAGTTGGTGTCTTTACTTATATGTAAATTAGGCTATAAAACAGATTTTACAAACAAAAGGTGGAAATATATTAATACGTACTTTAATCATGAAACACAATAGAAAGCTGTATGAGAAAGCATGATGCCATTTCTGGCCATGAAAAGCACCAGAAGTGATGCTGTGTTTCTGGAATGTAATTTCAGAATTATATTTTATGACTTAAATAAACCTGCTTTTTCCAAACATAAATCTTACCCCTATATTTTAAAATACCCACAGTATTTTAGACCTAAAGAAAAACTAAATAAAAGCTGCTAGGAAATGCGATACTCTAAGCAAAAAAGATGAATATAAAGAACCTCACATGAGGCTTTTAAATTAGTGGCATTTGGTATGTGATGCACTCCATCACCATCAAATTCAAAAAAAAGAACAAATATATGTCATCCGTACAGTTCTGTCACGCCGCCCTGGTGTGGACTGTCACTCAGCTGAAAGGGTGGGGAAGTGTTCCTCAGGCACATTACACAGGAAGGGGACCTGCTCTGCCTACATCCATTACAGCATGATCTGGACTATCCGCATGTTCATAGGTCTTAACTACAATCTACAACCGTGTTCAACTGAAGCCAGTCAGGAACCAGTCTTGTCAAGAACCTCAAGCTACGTGGATGTCATTACATGGCATCGGTTTATTTTCTTGGCATTAGACAGTTTCCTCCCTGTACAACAAATCTTCTGTTTTCCTCACTTCAAAACCCTTACCAGACTATTTTTCCTGTAAAGTTTTTGTTTTTTTTTTTTTGAGACGGAGACTCACTCTGTCGCCCAGGCTGGAGTGCAGTGGCGCGATCTCGGCTCACTGCAAACTCCGTCTCCTGGGTTCATGCCATTCTCCTGCCTCAGCCTCCCGAGTAGCTGGGACTACAGGCACCCGCCACCATGCCCGGCTAATTTTTTGTATTTTTAGTAGAGACGGGGTTTCACCATGTTAGCCAGGATGGTCTCGTGCTGTAAATTTTTCTAAACCATTACATGCTGCCAAACTGTCTTAAGCATGGTATCCTGAACAACTTTGATGACTGAGAGCCATTGTTAAAAATGCCAGTCAGGGGCCAGGCGCGGTGGCTTATGCCTGTAATCCCAAAACTTTGCGAGGCCAAGGCAGGCGGATCATGAAGTCAGGAGATCGAGACCATCCTGGCTAACACAGTGAAACCTGTCTCTACTAAAAATACAGAAAAATTAGCCGGGTGTGGTGGCGGGTGCCTGAGGCAGGAGAATCGCTTGAACCGAGGAGGCAGAGGTTGCAATGAGCAGAGATCGCACCACTGCACTCCAGCCTGGGAGAAAGAGCGAGAGACTCATCTCCAAAAAATAAAAAATAAAAATTAAAAATGTCAGTCATTATTCGGTGATAGACTGCCTTCCTCCACCCCCCCGGGGTCAGCAGTCAGTTCCATCAGCATTCCTATGACCAATATCTTGCAAAGCCCTTGGTATACTCACTTTGCATTAACTGTTTGGGTCTCTAAAAGCCTTTTTTTTTTTAAACCTAATTCAATCTATGTGATGAGAATGTGGAAACTTGGAAAAACACTGGCATTCTAGTAAGTGGGACATTACCTTAATACTAAATATCTACTGCTAGACTTTGGATTCCTTAAAATCACACACCATCCTACCAAATCATAAGAAAAAGACTTTGATAGTCCATCTTTAAAGAGTTTTCCTAACTTGGAGGTAAAACCAGTAATGCATATCTTACTTTAATATTACTTAGATATGGCTAAAAGGATTATTTGAGTCAAATTTTCTATTGGTTCTTTTCTTTTCCTCTCTGTGTGTGTGTGTGTGTGTGTGTGTGTGTGAGTGAGAGAGAGAGAGAGAGAGAGAGAGAGATCCACTGATTCTATTCTTCTTGTGTTGGCTTCAAGTAACCTGGTTGTATCCCCTGTGCCTAACTCGGTCAGTATCAGGTCAAAATGATGCTTGGCAAATGCTTTGCTGAATGAATGTATAATCAGAGGTTCCACGGGTGTCCAACTCTTTAAATGTGAGGACATTTTTTGCTTATCTGTGATGGTGGATATCATGAAAATTATGCACAAACCTTTTTTTCTTAAATAGCTCATCAGCTATCGTTAGTGTATTTTATGCATAGCTCAGGACAATTTTTCTTCTTCCAGTGTGGCCCAGGGAAGCCAAAAGGTTGGAACCCAGAATTCTAGAACTATTTGGGGAGGGGATGGTGGTGAGCCAAAGGCAGCAAGAAGATTTATGGGTCCTCAGAGTCACCATGGTAATGGTGGACTCAGGCACTCCTCCGTCCCTGTTGCTGGTCCCACTACATTGATAGTGTCATGGTATCACTCCTACTAATGGATTTGTGGACATTGGTGAGACTGAGTAACGATCTCAAAAACTCCCCAAATGAATCCCCAAAAACCTGGTACAAAGCCAATTATCATAACATATAGAAATTAACATGAGATAATTTCTGTGTTGAACAATTTCATAATTAGATAAATGGTGCTAACAGATCTCAACCAAATTATGAAGGCATTTGTAAACCATCAGGGGGCAGTGACTATTTACTTTTCCTCTAGAATTGGATGGGCAATGTCCCTTGTTTCTATTCTATAATGTTATTTTGGAATGTAGAAAACAAGCAGCCTTAGCTATTGAAATGATTTTTAAAGTTCTAAATATTTAGAGTTATATACTGCTTTCAAAGTTTACCAGTCATAGTGAAAATTACACTCCTGGGTTTATTACATAGTATATAATATACACTTGCTATATGATATAGCATGAGTTCGAAATGGTTAAAAATATATACCTCTTTCAAAAGTCCAGTTCAGCCCGCAAGGGGACTCAGGCTGAGATCCGGCTGTACCTTGCAGGCCTGGCAGGGCAGAGCTGCAGGAAGGTTAAAAGCAGGCAGCAGCAACCAACCACATGTTGAAAACCAGACTCTAATCTCAACTGGCAGGCTCTCTATCACCTTTCTGTCTTGGTTCAGCACAGTTTAAACCAGGTTGGAGAAAGATACAAAGTCATCCTGAAGATGACTGGAAACACAGGGAGACAAGTGGGCTGGCTTGAAGGTATCATTTGTAGGGGACGGTCAAGTTTAAGAACTTAATCGATTATTTTCAAATCTGCTCTGAAATTGCACTATGTTGAGGCTTTGTGAACTCTGTGCTAGACTTTGAGGGTCTCTAAGAGCAACCTCTCTTGAGGAAAGAGGGCACACAGAAGCTGTACTTGCAGTCGGCTGGTGGATACTAAGGGGATATAGCCAAATAAGACCTTTAATTTTGTTATAAAAAGTACACCAAAAGTTCATAGATAAATGTTTATTTCAAGTTAAGTATTGTCACTTTAATTTTGAAAACTGATTTGCTTATATTTGTTCATATTTTGAAAATGAAGATGAAATTTAAAAGGTAAACATAAAAGACTGACCACACCGCTCACTAGGATGGCTTTAATAAAAACACAGACAATGCCAAGTGCCAATGAGGATATGGAGAAACTGGAACTCTCACATGTTCCTGGTGGCAATGTCAAATGGTGCAGTCTCTTTAAAAATGTTTAACAGAATTACCGTATGACCCAGCAATTTTACCTCTAGGTAGCTACCTAAGAAAAATGAAAACATATGTTCTCACCATAACTTGTACATGAGTGTTCACAGCAGCATTAATTACAATGGCCAAAAAGTAGAAAAAAATCCATATCCATTCACTGATGAATGGATAAACAGAACGTGACACATATTTAATATTATGGAATATTATTTGGCCATAAAAAGGAATGAAGTACTTATATGTGCTAGAATCTGGATGAACCTTGAATATATTATGCTAAAAGAAAGAACCGTCAGGGAGGACCACATATTATATGATTCCATTCACACGAAATGTCTAGAATACGCAAATACATAGAGACAGAAAGTAGATTAGTGCTTGCCAGGGGCTGAGGGGAAATGGCAGGTGACTGCTAATGGGTATGGAGTTTCTTTTGGGGTGAGGAAAATGTTCTAAAATTGATTATGATAATAATTGCATAAAGTGAATATACTAAAAACACTAAATTGTACACTTCCAATGGGTACATTGAATGGTATGTGAATTATATCTCATTTAAATTGTTTCAAAAAAAGAATGAGTAGATAAACAAGCAAATATATAAAGGACTGACAAAATCAGGAGCCTAGAAATGCCCTCCCCTTTGGGTTTACAATTCATACTACCGTTTAGTGATAAAATGCTGGATGTACACTCATGGTTCCTCGGGATTCAACTTTTGCTTATAAAGTTCAATGTAAAATCACAAACCAGTGGTATCAAATCAACCAAAAGAAACTGTAACCTTGGAAAGTACAGACTTTTCACACTGTAACTATAACTTTAAGGCAATCATTCAAGTTGGGTGAAGAAGTCGCAGACAGGGACACCCAGCAGGGGGAGAAGTAACTTCTTGAATGGTACCCTTCCACGGTGTGACCATTCCGTACGGTGCTGTTAAGTATTTCACGTTCCTCAGTTGTGTTGGGGAAGAAAAATTGAGAACGAGTATTCTTCTAATATTTCTAAAAACATCAGCATAGCTACTGCTTAACTACGATTAAAATCAACTTGGGAAAAGCAGCACTGAAGATTGTGTGCACAGTGGACACATGCAGTACGACATGCAAATCGGCAATGACCGGGAAGCATGGCCCAAAGAAGCTGCTGCCTTCTTTGGGAGAACCTGCTTCCCAGGGATTGATTTGACTCAAAGTAAAATCTAGGTGGGGGTAGGCATGCTACTCACATACAACAGGGATCCACTCTGTAGTTTAAAATGACATCGAAACAAAATGTTAACAACAATGATTTATGTGTTCCACAGGGAATTTGGAAAACCTAAATCTGTGTATTAATTGCTTAACATTATTTCAATAGCGACACAAGTACAAATTAAAAGGACATTTAGCAAGTACCTCTAAAGCATAAAGAAAAACTGGTTTCTGGTCCAGATTTTCCTTCTTTAATTGGCAAAGAAGCTTTTAAATACCCTACAGGATAATGACTATTTCATTTACCCTCTTCATTTGTATCACTGGTCTATTCTGCAGCTAAAGGAGCAAAAGGACATCATAGGCCTTCATAGGTACAGTACAGCTTGGGTGGCTGGCAATCTCTTAAGAATCTTAAGTAAGGTATCTTAAAATCTCAGTGTCTATGACAATTCCTTAGATATTTATGATTATTTCTTTATATTAACAGATCATTTCCATAACTCGATATTATTGTTTCTTGCTTTATATCAGCTTTATATCATTATGTTTGTGGAAGACCAACCAAAACCATTCCCATGCTAGGGAAAGGATTAAATCCAAGTATAGATGTCCTACTCTATCCAAGGTATCTGGCTCAGGTCTGCCCTCCTTCTCCTCCCAGGTAGTGAGAAATGGAGGTCATGCTATGATTCTTGCTTTTTTCACTGCTATGGTCTGTGGAGCTAAAAGGCAGGCATCTGATAACTAGGAAGAATAACAGTCTTCCACTACTTGCCCAGCATTAAGAAAATTGTAATTGATTTTATTTTACTTATTTATAGAGATGAGGTCTTGCTCCGTTGCCCAGGCTGGAGCACAGTTGTGTGATCATAGCTCACTGCAGCCTCAAATACCTGGGCTCAGGCCTTCTGTCTCAGCCTCCCAAACAGCTGGGACTATAGGTGCATACCACTGTGCCCAGCTCTAATTTATTTTATATATTAAATATAATTGGGCCTTTGGTTTAAAACACATACAGGCATAAACTATGCCATGCCATAAAACTTTAACAGATCAGAAATTTGTTAGCTCTAAAGGTATAATTTTTAAAGGGGCAGCCCCAAATTCAAAATGTAGTGTAGGGCACAAAGCTAGGTTTCCATGTGTCTGATAAGTATTAAAATAATTCCACCTAGTAAATGACATATGAAACCATAATTTATAGGCTTCATAAACATGCAGTTCAATGTCATGATAAAAGGGCAAATAAATATTAAAATTTATTGAGAAAACAAATTTAAAGCAAAACGGCATGCGCTTCTCAAGAAAGAATAAGGCTCTAAGCAATAAATTTTCAAAATTAAAATTTTTTAATGACAGATTTCACTTAGAACTAGTGGCATTTGATTCTAGCAGAGACTCAATCTACAGACAGAAATTAGTGCAAACACTCAAGACTAAGAAGCATAAAGAAGAGCACTTGCCTGGTGTTTCACTGGTTTAGGCGATTCCTGCTGTTCATTACAAACAGACAAATGCAAATGTTAGCAAGTTTGAGTCTTTGCCTAGCAGTAAGCCATTTCCAAAGCACCAAGCCAATGTGCAGTTGAGAACTGTGGAAGCTGGGTTGGCTGGCGTTCTCTCAGGCTGTATTAACTACCACTTCTGCATGTCTAAAAATTAAGGAGAACTGACATTTCTATTCTTGCCCTTTTTCTGTCATCACTTCTTCCCATATCTCTACCCTCCCCTCAAGCTGCTGTGGGTAGTAGCAAGAGGCTACTGCAAGTTCAGAAAGAACTGCTGAACAATTCTCAGCAAATCTTTGCAAGAAATTAGGCATCAAGCCACAACCATAATTCCAGTTTGCCCTGTCAGAAAACCTCTTTAACAGCAATTTCCTTGTATCCTAGCCTCTGGGGTGGAAAAAAGCATTGCTGGGTAGGTGGCGGGGAGCAGGTGGAGACAAGGGAGCTGTCAGTTATAGCAGTGTGGAGAGTAGACTGGCTTCCTTATTTTTGTTTCTGAAATTATAAAAGAAGAAGAAGATTTAAAAAACAACAGAGCAGAAACTTACAGGAATATTATGGTCCTTTCTTCCTTTATGTGAAGAAGCAACATGGGCAAGGTACTGAATAACTTTCTTTGTATTTTCTGTCTTCCCAGCACCTGACTCACCCCTGAAAGAAAGAGTTAATATAGGCTGCTTTAACGAAAGCACAGCACATGCATTCCAAAATTACAACTGATAAAATTAAATTGTATTGGAACAATAATTAATAAAAATAAAAAGAATAAATAGAAAAAATAACTATCAGCAGTAGTTAGAAAAGAAAATCATCCTTGTAAGAGGTATTAAATAATAAACCCAAATAATTCTTTTTTTTCTTTGAGACAGAGTCTCACTCTGCTGCCCGGGCTGGAGTGCAGTGGCGCGATCTTGGCTCACTGCAACGTCTGTCTCCCGGCTTCAAGGAATTTTTGTGCCTCAGCCTCCTAAGTAGCTGGGATTACATGCACACACCACCATGCCCGGCTAATTCTTATATTTTTAGTAGAGATGGGGTTTCACCATGTTGGCCAGGCTGGTCTCGAACTCCTGGCCTCAAGTGATCTGCTCACCTTGGCCTTTTAAAGCACTGGGATTACGGGCCTGAGCCACTGTGCCCAGCCAACCCAAATATTTCTTGATAGATGCCAGTAAGAGGACACAGGAAAATGTTCACGACACTCTTTTTTCCCTTGGGGGTGGGGGGGTTCTACCAGAGAAGTGAAATTTATTAGAACATTCATGAAGAAAACTCCTCAGTACCATAAACATATCTGGCACTGCAAACAGAGAATCCCTAAAACAATTAAATTAATATGATTTAATCTGAAGCAGCTGAAAGAACTCTGAGATGCCTGCTGGTATTGATACTCATCTTCAAAGCCACTGAAAGCTTTCTCAGATCCCCCTCTCAGAGCAGGCTAGTGACGATTCACTTCCTGGTGCCAGTGTTGTGCCTCATAGGCTGGGTTCCTGATGGCAGGGGCTATAGCCTCATATATTTATTTATTTGTGTTTTGTTTCTTTCTTTCTTTCTTTTTTTTTTTTTTTTTGAGACAAAGTCTTGCTCTGTTGCCCAGGCTGGAGCACAGTGGCATGATCTCGGCTCATTACAACCTCTGCCTCCTGGGTTCAAACAATTCTCCTGCCTCAGCTTCCCAAGTAGCTAGGACCATAGGCACACGCCACCACGCCTGGCTAAGTTTTTGTATTTTTAGTAGAGACAGGGTCTAGCCATGTTGGCTAGGCTGGTCTCAAACCCCTGACCTCAAGTGATCCACCTGCCCAGCCTGTGTTTTGTTTCTTTTTAATCCTTGTAACTTTTTCCAGTGTTGACACATAGGCAGACGTAATTTGTTGTCAAAATGAGTAAATACTATGAATTTTGTTGTGAATGAGGACAAATGCCACCATTTTAAATGATTCATATTTACAAGCAAGGCTGGCACATTTCAAAAGTTTTCATTTCTACTCACTACTAGGCTTGAAATTCAGACAAGCTGCTACACACACAGCGAGACCTGAATTACGGCCTCTGCTCAAACACTGAAGCTCCCCTAAGACGTGATCAAAGCAAACCTAACTTTACAGTCAACAAAATTCTCAATTTGGATTATAAGAAAAATTTCAATATCTAATTAATTTTTCTTTAAAAAAAACACCCCAAACTCAAAAATGTTATTATATACCTTGCCAACGAATAATCCTCTAAGCATTTAATCTAAGGATTGAAAATCTAATTTTTCTAACAAAGCTGGACTCTTTCTTGGAATTGTACTTAGAATTGCACTATTTGGGCCGGCCACAGGGGCTCATCCTGGGACTTTGGGATGCCAAGGCCGGAGAATCGCTTTAGCCCAAGAGTTCAAGATCAGCCAAGGCAGCATAATGAGACCCACATCTACAAAAAAAACACAACAAATCAGCTGGGTGTGGTAACTCCCACCTGTAGTCCCAGCTACTCAGGAGGCTGAGGTGGGAAGATCTCTCGAGCCTAGGAAGTTGAGGCTGCAGTGAGCTGTGATTGTGCCACTGCACCCCAGCCTGGGCAACAGAGCAAGACCCTGTCTAAAAAAAAAAAAAAAATTGTACTATTTGAAGTGTCCAAAACTTAAATTTTTCGGTAGTTTACTGAAAAATTACTGGTTGCATTATCTTCTTAACTCTGCACCCAGATAACCACAAACTCAACCGCAGGGAAGACTGGGTGAAGGAACCCTAGTGACCAACTGTTTGCCTCAGTAAAGAAATTTTCTTCTCTGGGCCTCAGTATCCCAAATCTGTAAAATGCAGGCATTGGATTAGATCCTTTCTAGCTCCAAGAGCTGACAATTCTAGATATAACCCACTTAATGGTTTATAAGACTATTTCCTATGTGAAGCTTATTAACCACCCCTCATGTTATCGTAACATTAGTTCCCTTCTGATTTGCCACCCACAAGTGTTTGAATCTTAGGTACTCCAATCTACCAAACTTTTATTTTAAGGTTTCTGCCCACTATTCATGCTAAAAGAGGCCTTTCTGGCAACCAAGATTACATCAATCTGTACTCTCATTTTTATATCATCTGTATTATTAAATCCATCTGTTGTTTTCTTTTACAAGTTTGATAGCTTCACTTTTTACAGCTGAATCTTCAACCTGAAAAAAATTTTATGATTTCAGGTAAGAATTTAATCTAATTGTTTCCCCTAGATGATTCAGCCCACCTCCCAATATCAATGACTGACAAAGACATTCATTCTCAGGTGATATAAAATGTTATCTTTTAGACAGGCATGGTGGCGGGCGCCTGTAATCCCAGCTACTCGGGAGGTTGAGGCAGGAGAATTGCTTGAACCTGGGAAATGGAGGCTGCAGTAAGCCAAGATCTTGCCACTGCACTCAAGCCTGGGCGACAGAGCGAGACTTCACCTGAAAAAAAAAAAGTTATCTTTTTCTTATTCCCCATACCTGTGGCATACTTCCAAGCCAGCACCATATTCAGTCGTTCTGAAACGTGACTAACCAGAGCACCCACCATCATCCTTCTTTTTGAAAAGAGCAAAAAGAAATCAAGTAGACGCTGAGGTTTTTTTTTTAGGTAAACTTCAAATAGTTTTTTTCTGTTATCTCTTCCCCATCTCCCTGCCTCCCAAATAAAAAACGACAGGTAGAATTTTGAGTTAAGTGGTATCAATATTCATCTTATTTTTTTTTTTTTTAGGAGAAATGATGTCTTCATCCCTGTGTCTCCCAGGTATAAGTTTTGTATTTTTCTAAGTTCAAAACAAGCAAGGATCATGTTTGCCTTATTTATCCTTAAAATCATAGTGCCTGGCAGAGTTAAGTGCTTGATATAGACTGCTGAGTCAATGAATGAATGTAGGTCCTACGTATTTTTAAAGTTTACTCCTAGGCTCTTTTTAATAATTTTTGTTCCTATCAATCTCTTTTCATCACCATTACATTTTCTACCTGGCTACTATTGGCACATAGATAAGAAAATAGTTTCTATTCATTCATTCAATCACTTATTCTTTCAACAAACATTTGCAAATCAACTTCTATGTGTCAGGCATTCTTCTGAGTGCTAGGGATAGTGTGTCAATAGAGTCCATGTCCTTGTGGGGTGCAAGGTTAGAAGAACATACATAAAATAAATAAGAACAGATAAAGATTATTAGATTATAAGGATATAAGGAATGCTGCAAAAGACACTAAAAGGAAAAAGAGAAGGAAGGACAGCCCCTCCTCTAGATATGAAGGTCAGGGGAAAGGCTCTTGAAAGATGAGCAAGAACTGGCAAGTGAAGAGCTGGGGAATGTGTTCAGGAAGATGGAGAGGTACATGCAAAGACCCCAAAGCAGAAAAGAGCTTGGCATAGTCCAGGGACTGATGGCCAGGTGCCAGGATTTGATATAAATAACAATCAGGGGAGGGAGTGGCGAGAGAGGCAGATGGAGCAGGAAGGGGAGGGGTGCCATGGACCCTGGAGGTCATGGTAAAGAATCTGGGTTTTATTCAAGTGTAATTTCTTAATAGCTATGACAGTGGTCTCTCTGTTCTGTTCTTAACAGTATTAGAAATACTGAGTGTTTCCATATTAATCGTGATGTTGGTTGTTGGTTTCAAAAAGATAATTTCTTATTACACCAAGAAATGGGCCTCTTTTTTAGACTGATGATGACTTGTCTCAAATATAGTTATGATTGTTACTTTCCAGCCTGGTTTGTCTCTGTGGTTTCCCAGCTAACCGCCTCAATGGACATGCTTCAACGTGTCCTTAAAGCATTTTTTCCTGCCTGTCACACTTAGGCAGCCATACTTCAACAATTGCTTATGAGCTGTGCTACATTTTACATATTTCGGGTCTAAGGTAACTCTGCTATAGAAAATATGGCTTCAAAGATAGATACATTCAAAACCTTACTGTTGAGCTCCCAAGAGGATAGATTATGGGTCTTATATTGCCCACTATAAAATGGGGATAATAGCTCCTAATACATAGGGTTGTTGAAGAAAAAATACAGCTCAACTAAAGCATATAGATGACATTCAATAAACATTATCCATTATTGTCCACTCATATATTCATCCACTATACATGAGGTGATTTGAATTACTAAACTTTATGAATCAATAGTTAGGACAGTGGTTAAGAACCTGAGCTACAGAATCAAAATGACCTACCTAGATTCAAATCCTTCTGCCACTCCCTAGCTATGGAGCTTTAGGCAAGTTACTCAGTTCTCTGAGGCTCAGTTTATATGCCTTTAAAATGAGACTTCACAGGACTGAGATAATGCGGGAAAGGGCCTAGCACTGTCCTCGCCAAAAGGCTCTCAATAAATGGTAGTGGTGATACCAATAGTTATGATAATGATCAATGATGATGATGATGAAGATGGTAATGGAAATTTTTAAAATCTGATTTTAATGAAGGAGGTGGCAGGATCAAAGGAGTATAAATCTTGGAAAAATAGAAAAAACAATGAGAAATGGCACATCTGTCCCAGATGGAAACAGAGGAGGTAACTAAAAGCAGCTTGAACAAAAGCAGAGGGAAGAGAGCCAAAAAGAAAGCTCAGCAGACTTCTCTCTAAGAAAATTAGGAGACTCCTCAGAAAAGTGAACAACAGGCCAAGACCTCAAAGAGTGAGGGCAAAGGGAATCTGACCTCATTTCCATCAACAAAATGAGATGTTAACGGTGAAGCAGTCTTACACTTTAAGTGGCTGGTTATTTCACTGCTGGTCTAAGACAGGACTATGGTTAAGGGGAAAGGCTGCAGTCCCAGCATCGTGCTCTTTTGGAGAAGAAATCCTTCAAAGAGAGTGGTAGAAGTACAAAGCTAACAAGAACAAAGCAAGGAGGCTTCTAGCTGGAGGTGTCCTGCATCTGTTGAAGCACATTCGGACACAAAAGATCAGGAGTTTCTAAACGTGAACATGTTTGCGTTTCCTCAATAGGTCTACAGCTTTGGCTTCTCAAAGGGATGTGCAATCCAAAACAAAAACATAAAAAACAACAGCCTAAAGAAGCAGTGATGCAGATCATTAATACGTGACCAATTCTGAGACCTTTGAATTCCTTCTGGACCATGGGGATTTCCCCAATGAGAAACCCCTTTTTCAGATCTTTATTGGTAAAAATATTGGTATTTTATTTTGTCTGGATATTTGTAACACTGAATTCAGCCTAGCTTCAAAAATCACCCTCTGCTTGAAGTTCTTGTTTTAGATAACCTCGATTTGAAAAACACCAGATACATATTACCCCCTATATTATCTATACCTATGCAAACATATAACATTAGTAGATGACTTCCTACAGTTTCCAAACTCTCTTTAGAGAGCAGCTTACTGGGAAGAGCAGAGATTTTGTGATCAACATAGGCTTGGACTCAAGTCTCCCCTATCGCACTGGCACTACCTCATCAGGTCTTGGATAATGTGACAGTAAATGGACATAACAGAGGTATTGCAAAGATTAACGGAGAGAACACTTCCAAAGACATGTTCACTTTCCTTGCATATTTGCCTAGAACATTTTACATTTCTATTTACAAGTTGATTTGATACTTCTTTTTCTTCCATAACATAGATGTCATCGAAAGTGAGACACACATCTAATAATTCCCAAAGTTTTAGGACTTGAGGACATATAAAATAGAGTCATTAGAAAAGCAAATTGACTAAATAGTTAACTAAATAATACCTTTTTTTTTTTAACAAGAGGAAAGGCATACAAATTCATTTAACATGAGCGTGGGGAGAATCACAGTCTGATAGCCCCCCTAAATAGTTATTCTCATATGGCAATAGGGTTCAGAGAGGCTGACAATCTGATCCAGAATCACATAGTTCATGGCAGAGCTGGGAGAAGAAAGAACACCAGAGTTCTATCTGACCACACAATGTTTTTTCAACTACATTACACTGTTGCCTTCGCTGTTTAATCAATTCTATCAATTTAGCTGCCTTAAAACTTTTAACGCATGTTATTCCTAGCAGGAATCAACTGTTCTCAATCCTGGCTGGCTGGCTATCATTACTTAATGTAATATTTGTATATAATAGATAAGATTCCTTTACAAAAACATCGACTGTCACATCTTAATAGGCCATTGTGAGGCAACCATTATTTTATAATTTTTACATTATACTCAAATATACTCAAAAGGAGAAAACCAACTTGCCTAAAGCAGTTAGAGTCATAAAACATAAACAGAGTATTCTTTAAAAGGGGGGTTTAAGAGAACAGAGTAATTTCCTCATCAAGGGTGACTGCTTTGTGAATTTTAATTCTGATGAGAAGGAAAATCAACATGAGGATTACACTGTAGCAGGATTTCACCTCCAGTTCTATGGGGGTGCAAGTGTGAAAGACCACTCTCTCCTGAGAGAGGATGCATGCAGCCTGAGTGTCTTCACCACACACGAGAATACTAGGATACTCAGATAAACAAGCATTAAACAGGCGGCTTGCAAGTGGGAGCTCACAAGGCCTGGCCTGAGTTTGCAGAAACAAAAGGTTACCTGGGGAACTATGGGCAGATAAGGCCAGAGTGTAAATTAAGAAGTATATCCTTTTGGGGGAAAAGCAAATTACAGAATAAATGACTGAAAAAGTGAAATGCTGACCTAAAGGAAGATGCTGAGGCAAAATTAATATAGAAAGTGTATTTGGGCCAAGGTTGAAGCCAGCTGCCCAGGACACACTTCAACTTGCCTTGGGCCTTTTTTACAAGCAGTTTTTAAAGGAAAGAGGGTACAAAGAGTGGGCTGATACAAAGCTGTGTGACAGGAATTCTCACTGGTTTACAGAGATAACATTGATTAGTGATTGGATACACACTGTTGAACCACAGGGGTGAGTTATAGTGTCTAGTGTATGGCATTTTTTGGCTACTTGGCATCAGTCTAGAGCACACTTAACAGGTGGCTTTAAGAGGTAATTATCTAGTTCAAGGAGGGAGTGAAACTGTTGTTTCCGTCCAATGCCTCTCTGGGCCTGATAATTTAAAGGGGCTTGCATTCCTCACATAAAAAGGCTTTCTTTCTCAAAAGCTTAAGGAGATGCTATCAAACTACTTAATACTGATTAAGAAATAATAATAAAACCATGTTGCATCTAGTTGTATTTATTTTTTATTTATTTACTTATTTTGAGACGGAGTTTCGCTCTTATTGCCCAGGCTGGAGTGCAATGGCGCAATCTCAGCTCACCACAACCTCCGCCTCCCGGGTTCAAGCAATTCTTCTGCTTCAGCCTCTCAAGTAGCTGAGATTATAGGCATGCACCACCATGCCCGGCCAATTTTGTATTTTTAGTAGAGACGGGGTTTCTCTATGTTGGTCAGGCTGGTTGCGAACTCCCAGCCTCAGGTGATCCGCCCACCTTGGCCTCCCAAAGTGCTGGGATTACAGGCGTGAGCCATCATGCCTGGCCTGTATTTTCTTTTGGTCGTACTACATATATATATGTGTGTGTGTGTGTATATTATATATATATATGTGTGTGTGTGTACATATATGTGTGTGTATATATGTGTATATATCTATATATGTGTATATATATGTGCATGTGTGTGTGTGTATATATATATATATATAGCTACATATGGAAAGTTTGTGAAGTTGACTAAACAGTTTTTTAATAAGAGAAAAGGCATACAAATTTATTTAACATGAGCATGGGGAGAATCACAGAGTGACTGCCCCTAAATAGTTATCTTATGCAGAAAACTTAATTAGCTTGGCGGTGGACTAAGTTTATGAAGACCCCAGTCACACACACTTGGAGTACTGTATTTGGTGGATCCTCAAAGGCACCATGGAACATATCATATTTTCCTAAATCTAAGATACATTGTTTAACTTTTTCATATTTTTCAGGGCACAATGTAACTTTATAATAGACATGAACATGAAAAGCTGTTACTAAATATCAGTGGTATCTAAAAAATTTTAAACTATAATGAGGCTGAGAGAGGTGGAGGTAGGTAAGTACGGGGGGACAGGAGAAGGAACTTTCTGGGGTGATGGTATTATTGTCTACATCTGGATAACGGTTTGGGTTATACAAGGACTTAGGAAATGAATAATTAAGGTTTGTGCATTTAATTCTAAGTAAATTTTGTTTCAAAAGAAAAAGATGAAAATACTGGGCTTCAGTTAACACTATATGCTTAAGTACTTAGGGGACAGTGTACTGATGTCTATCTACAATTGAACTTGAAATGCATCAAATGAAGGGATTAATAGCCCACTAAAGTGGTATGAAAATCACTTTAAACTGAAAACATCTCAGCAGCCACATAAGGAAACATCATCTAAACTTTAGCAGGACCCCCCAGTATATGCAGCTGCCACTGACCCCTCCCAGGGAGGTTCCCAGATTGAGAAAAGCATGCCCTTTAGCACCGAACAGAGTGAACCCAGCTGTTCATCAGCATCAAATAGACCAAGAGAACCCTCCATACTTTCCCACTGAAGCCTTAAACTTCACAGGACCCTTTTGTCAGGGAGAGGATATATGCCTTTTATTTCTATAATTCCATGAGACACTCATCACTGAGTACACTTGTGTAAATAAGTCTTATCTTTTCTCTGTTAATCTGTCTATTGTCAGTTAACTTGCAGGTCCCCTGAACCCAAGTTGCAAGAGGAAAAGTTTTCCTCCCAACATAAACAGTATAAGAAGGACTGATGGATGACAGACAGGATAAAGCAAGTACAGTGAAATATTAACAGTAGAATCTAGGTGGTAGACACATGGCTGTTCACTGCAAAATTCTTTCAACTGTGCTTTATGTCTGAAAATATTCATAATAAAATGGAAAAAGCAATTTAAAAAAGAATGGAAGAAAACAAACATGGTACTTGATGACTGCCCCTTTGTACCCAAGAAGAGATAAACCCAGGTGCTAGAAGACTTACCTCATAAATCCAAGTCTATTAATTGGTGACAAAGTACAAACTAAAATGGTGTCGATCATCTAATCATAAGTGCTAGCGTCTGTACTGGCCACTTTGGGTAACAAAATAAGTACTCACGAACTTTTGTTCTGTCAAACAGCAAGTCATTCCCTCCCTAAGTGCTTCCTGCTTTCAGACGTTCCCAAAAGTCTTCATCAAACCACTTCATCTAAGAGAAGGTACAAGTCTCCACCTGGTTTTGTTTGTATTCCAACACATCCACGGTGGATCAGCTAAAGTAATGGCTCCAATTGTTTCATGCCTCACTTTATGATGTTTCCCACCTGACTCATGCCATGCCTTGCCATGTCTTGCTTGGGAATGGGACAGCAGAATGTGACACAAGCAGAAACTTGAACAATGCTTACACACTGGAGCTTGCCCTCTTGCTGCTGTTGAACGCTGCTACCACGTTAAAAGCCAGGGATAGACTGCCAGAGAAAGAGACACCAAGTGGAGAAGAAACCAAGGCACCCCCACCAACAGTCAGCCAGCCATCCCACAGTTGTCCGTAGACGCAGCAGTGAGCCTCCAATAAGAAAGCTGAGCCTGGCCCAGATCTGCAGAACTGCCCAGCTGAGCCCAATCCAACTGCTGGGAAACCTGTAGAACCGTGCTGATTTGAGCCACTAAGTTTCAGCGTGATTTGCTGTTCAGGAAAAGCTAATTTATATAACTCCTCAAGGCTAAACAATGCTAGCAAAAAATTCATATAACAAAGCCGACTGACTAACTCTCATCTCCTCAAACCTCCTATCCTGCCACTCCTCCCCTTTCTTATTAAATACCAAGTCTTCTACTTCATAGAAAAGAGAAACCATTAGATTAGAATTTTCTCAATTCACAGCTCCCCACCCCTACTTACCCGCATTGGTACTCATCTGCCTCCTTGGCCCGTCACTGGAGAAGAGTCGCGCCCCCCACTAGGACCTCACTGTGCCCAGACACCCAACCCCTGTGCTCTGCACCTCATCACCCTCCTTGCTCTCTCAATTCTCCTTCCTGCCCAAATCCAAGCCACTCCCAAAATGTTATCTTCCTCTCATCAGCACTGAATCTCACCCACACTAAAAACACCAAAAACAAAAATCCTATTGATCTCTTACCACCACTCAACTACTCTCCACCTTCCCAAACTACCTGAAAGTAGCAGGTTCATACTTGAGTTTTCTAGAAATTGTATTTTATTTTTGACATTTTCACCTCCCCTTCATGCCTCAACTGCCACCTGGCTTCTCTACCTCTTCGCTATCCCCAGTCCACTCCAGCACCCTCCACTCTCTATTGCTGGGTCCAGTGGGCACGCTGCTGCTCATCTCATCCACTCAATCTGAAGTGCTGACCCCTCCCTCTGTCCCGAAATGCCTCTCTCCCCTTGACTGCTGTGCCACCACACCTTCTTGCCTCCTCATGCCCCTATGATGGGTCATTTTAGCCTTCTTTGTGGTTCTTCCTCCTCTGCCTGACCCTTGAGTGTAGGCTTTCCTCAGGATTCCACACTCTGCTTTCTCTCAACACATTCTTCTAAGGTAATCTCATTCATCGGCATGGCTTCCATCACCTTCCATGCCACTGACTCTTCAGATCTGCATTTCTAGCACAGATCTCACTCTCCTGAGCTCCAAACCCACATATCCAAGAGCCCAATGACAGCTCCACTTACATGAGCCATAGGGACCTCAAATGCAATGTGTCCTAAACCAAACTCATTATCATCCACTCCAAACCTGTTCTTCCTCCCATGTTCCCATGTCAGGAGATTTCAGCAACAAAACCTTCTCTTAGCTCCTTTTTCTTATGCATGTAAATCACCAAGTCTTGGTAAATCTGCCTCCTAAACTGAACACCGCTTAAACGCAACCACTGCTCTCTAGGTTCATAACTACTTCTATACCTGAAGTCCTCACCATCTCTTGCCTAGATAACTGAATAGCCTCCTAACTGGTCCTCTTGTTTCAACTCTTCCTCCACTCCATTTTCCACACTGCTGCCAAAGTAATCTTTCTAATGTGCAAATCTAATTGTGTCCTGTTGTGGATATTGTTTTATTCTGCTGTGAATGTTTAACACTGAGCACACAGTACAGTAGGCACTTGATAATCAGTAAATGCTTATTGAGTAAAAAGAATAAATTACTGAAACGTCCAGTAGGCCTACACTTTGACCTATGAACTAAAGATGTAAGTTTCACAGATTAACATTATAAAATGTGTGAAAAGCCCAGACTGACAACCAACCATTAACACCAAATTTAAGCAACTTACATAATCTTAGTCTTAAAATAACTGCGAGGTTTACATCAAACTCTTAAAAATTACTGCTCTACTTCTCCCCTCCCCCCAGACAAAAATAGTTGCTCCACTTTCCAAGAAAATCAAAAACAAATCTGAACATTCAACATTTACTTACGTGCAAAGAATTGACTGGTCCTCACGATCTATAAAACAGAACAAAACAAACAAAAAAAAGAAAGTGACCATTTGCCTGGTTTTAAAATATTTGATATAATAAAGTTGCAGTAATAGCCTATAAAATATTAGTAACTACTCCTCTCGAGCCAAGTTAATGCCTCCAACCCCATTATACAGTCCTAAATCTAATCAAACCCCCTCATATCTCCTATTATTATGCCAGAGTCTCTGGGGGTAAATAACAGTAACTCAGGCTTATTCCACACATCGTTTGCCTGGATGACTTTATATGCCTAATTAACCTTGATTCTCAAACCCTGCCGCATACAAATTCAACCGGGAAGTTTTATAAAAATGTATTTCCTGGCACTCCACCTCACTAAATCATTCAACTCTGGGAGATGGGGATTAAAAACCCTTCTTTAAATAAGCGCCCCAGGTGATTATGACACCTGGCCAGATTTGGAAACCACGGCCTTTCAGAATGGCTTCAAGAATACCCACAACCAGAGAGGAATCATTGCTAATGTCATCTTAAAGGAGGAAAAAAAGTATTAAACACTGAGTGGAAAGAAAGTTGAAGGAGGATAAACATCTATAAATATAGTCTCAAGTCAACATGTTTTATACACCAAATACAACAAAAGAATCTAACATGATTTTAAAGTGATTAATAATTTAAGGATCCAACTAAAATTTTCAAATAAAAAGGTGAAAATCAAACCACTATCTAGCCCATGGACAAAATTACCAGTAGAGGATGCAGAATTTCTAATCACTTATGAGTATTACTATCCCTATTTCACAGATGAGAAAATGTTCCTCAGGGAGGCTAGGTAATCCTCCCAAGTGACACGGCTACGAAGGGGCAAGGTTGCCAGGATGAGGACCCAGGCCTGTCTGCCTCTAGCACCTGTGTGTGTTCTCAACAATACGAAACAAGTTTGTCATTGCCTAGAAAGGAACTGAGCTCACAAGTCCTGGCCCAAGTAGCTTTTTTGCTGCTTGCTATGCTGTGCTTTCTTTTCCTCTGGTGGATGCCTCCGGTGCCTAAGGAGGATTTCACAGCAGTTAGGCATAAATAACTTCCATGAAAGAGAAATAAGTGCTCCGTTCACTATGTCGTATTCTTTTTTACATAATATTATTAAACAAATCCATTCATATACTCTATGTATAAACTGAGATTTACAAAGAACACAGTACTGTCCTGCTCAAGTCTAATTTCTTTTTTCTTTTTCTTTTTTTCAGACAGAGTCTCGCTCTGTTGCCCAGGCTGGAGTGCAGTGGTGTGATCTCAGCTCACTGCAACCTCCGTCTCCTCGGCTCAAGTAATCCTCCCACCTCAGCCTACTGAGTAGCTGGGACCACAGGCAGGTGCCACCATGCCCGGCTAATTTTTGTATCTTTGTAGAGACAGGGTTTTGCCATGTTGCCCAGGCTGGTCTTGAACTCCTAGGCTTAAGGGATCCACCTGCCTCGGCCTCCCACAGTGTTGGGATTACAGGTGTGAGCCATGGCACCCGGCCCTAATTTCATTCTAATAGCTCATAACCTGGTGTTATTCTTCCTTCTGGCTGCCACAGCCAACATTTATAGTACATAGTCAATGTCTGCCTCCTTTATTCATTTACTTACACAGAGATCACACTATATCCTTTCTTCCAACATACTCTTCCTAGACACAGAACCACTGGGATATCTCCTGCATGTCCCTTTGGCCTCGATCCAGCTTCACCTCCTCTAGGAATACCTTCCCAAACACTCTCCCTCAGGTTTCTCAATGTCGCCTTTTTTTTTTTTTTTTTGAGATGGAGTCTTGCTCTATTGCCCAGGCTGGAGTGCAGTGGCGCAATCTCGGCTCACTGCAAGCTCCACCTCCCGGGTTCACGCCATTCTCCTGCCTCAGTCTCCTGAGTAGCTGGGACTACAGGCGCCCGCCACCACGCCCGGCTAATTTTTTGTGTTTTTAGTAGAGACGGGGTTTCACCGTGTTAGCCAGGATGGTCTCGATCTCCCGACCTTGTGATTCACCCACCTCGGCCTCCCAAAGTGCTGGGATCACAGGCATGAGCCACCGTACCTGGCCAATGTTGCCTTCTTTTAAGTGTATTTTAGAATCAGACAAACAATACTGCGGTTGACTGCCCACTAGAATGCATTGCTTGAGATCCGAGACTGTCTTACTTCTTTATTCTCAGGATTAACAGCCTTGGTGAGCCACAGCTAGCTTTAATAGAGGTCTGCTGAGAGAAACCCAGTGCTAGGTGCCATGTGGGCACTGGCAAGATAATGGGGCCTGGAATCTTTTCTAGTTCTAGCTCTGCCACAAACTGTGTATCTATAAATGAGGCATTTATTCCTTGCTGGCTGGTTCTTCACCTATAAACCATGATTTTACCACGTCTTTGCTTATTCACTCTCAATATGAATCTTCAGACCCCCGAATTTTCCTGGTCTTAGCAATTTCTATAGAACTCCACTATACCAAGTTGTTTATGGTTTTTCGAAAGTAGTTTACACATTAAAGAAATCAAAGCACACAAAAATTAACCCAAATCGAATTGCCTCCTAATTCATTCAAAATGGCGTTCTTCCTGCGTCTGTACATGCTATTATCAATGTCTAAAATTTGAGACCTACACTACAGCCTGCTGCATACTTCATTCCCCCACGCTTCTTGCTATCCCACCCCCTGTCAAACAACAACAAAAAACCAACTCTCTTCTAGCCAGACTCATCTATTTTTGTTATTTGTCTGTCTGATCTTGTATTAACTTTGGGCCTCAGTACACAGGGGATAGGCTTGCCAACCTCCCAGATTCTCTCCAACTCTGTGATCAACTCCCCACCTCTGCTTCACTGAATCCTCTGTACCCTTCAAGGATCAACTGCAGGACTACGACAGTTTCCAATGATCTTTATACTCTAAAACCCTATACATGTAACCAAACAGAGCCTTACGGTGATATTAAAGGGGGAAAAACTCACTTTCAAAAATGCAACTAGCCTTCTAAACAGTAGGGACTCATTTGATAGCTCAGTATTTTCCAAAGCACCTTCTAAAAATCACATAAGGAGGTATGCAATAAATCCATGTTGAATCAAATCATTTTCTAAACATGAGAAAGTTTTTAAATCAATGATCTGGGCTCTTACCTAAATAAAAACTAGAAAAGAGCAAATTAAATCAAAAGTAAGGAGAAGAAAGGAAATGATAAAGAAATCAATGAAATGGAAAACAGAAAAAAGAAAAAAAAATCAATGAAACCAAATGTTCCTTCTTTGAGAAGATCAATGGTATTGACAAACCTCTAGCTGAAGTAATCAGGAAAAAGGAGAAAAGGACACAAACTGCCAATATCTGTAATTTTTAAAAAGTAGTATGATTAAGAACCCATGGATATTGAAAAGATAATAAGAAAATATTAAGAATGACTTTATGACAAAATATTCAACAACTAAGATGAAAGGGATAAATTATTTAAAAGACACAACCACTAAAACTCACTCAAGAAGAAATGGTAACCTGCATAGCCTTCTATCTATTAAAGAAAATGAAATTGTAATTAAAAATCTTCTCACAAAGAAATCATAGCTCTATTAGAAAATTCTCCAAAACAGGTAGGGAATAAATAACACCAATTCTATATAAACTCTTTAGAAAACTGAAGAGGAAGAAGCATTTCTCAATCCATTCTAAGAGACAAACCTTACCCTGATAATGAAATCAGAAAAAAAAAAAAAAAAAAAAAAAAAAGACATTGCAATAAAAGAAAACCACATATAAATATCACTCATAAACAAATGCTCAAAAATCCTTAACAAAATGTTGGTAAATCAAATCCAGCTATATATATATATATATATATATATATATATATATATAAAAGATGATGCACAGAAAGAACAAATGGTGTCTGTCCTGGGAGTGCAAGGCTAGTTCAACATCCCAAAGGTGAATAATCTAATTCATCACATCAACAGACTTAAAGAAGAAACACCCTCTGACCATCTGAATAGATGTAAAAAAGCGTTTGACAAAACTTAATATCCACTGATGATTTTTAAAAACTCAGCAAACTAGAAATACAAGGGAACTTCAACCTGATAAAGGTCAGTCACAAACAACCCTACAGTTAATATCCTCTTTAATAGTGAAAAACTGAATGCTATCCCTCTAAGGTCAGGGACAAGGGAAGGATATTTGTTCTCACCACTCCTATTCAACGCTACAAAGTAAGAAAACAAAATCCAAAGCATAGATTGAAAAGGAGGAAATAGCAATGTCTCTGTTTGCAGAGGACATAGACAGAAAATCCCAAACAATCTACAATACACAAAAACAAACAAACAAACAAACAAAAAAACCCTTTCAGACTAAGTTTAGCAAGGTTGCAAAAAAAGTCAATGTATATTTTAAATATCCTATTTCTATATATTAATAATGAACAATTTGAAATTGAAATTTTGAAAGTTCCATTAAAACTAAAAAAATTAAATGTTTAGTTATACCAAGGTATATGATATACTTGGTTATAAATCTGATGAAGTATACGCAACATCTCTGTATGCTGAAAACTACAAAACACTAATGAAAGAAGTCAAAGAAGACCTATAGAGAGACAAACTGTTGATGGATTGGAAGACTCAATATTGTTGTTAATTCGGCCTCAACTGATCTATAGATTCAGTGCAATCCAATCAAAATGTTAGCAGGATATTTTGGGCAAAAAGCGACAAACTGATTTCTAAAATTTATACCTATGGAAAGACAAAGGAACTAAAATAAAGAATTTTTTAAAAGAACAGTGGTAGAAGACTCACACTACCTGATTTCAAGGTTTACTGTAAAGCTACTGTAACTAAGCCAGTGTGATACTGGCAAAAGGAAAGACATATAGATCAAAGGAACAGAGAGTCCTGGAATAGACCTTTGTTGATTTTCCACAAAGGTACAAAGGCAATTCAATGGAGAAATAGTTGTTTCAACAAATAGTGCTAGAACAATTGAATATCCATAAGCAAAAAGATGACTCGCAACCCATACTTTGCACCATATACAAAAATTAAACCAAAATAGGTCACAGACTGGGAGGAAAAAAATTGCAAATCACTTATCCAATAAAAGACTTATATCTAGAAAGGACAAAGAACTCTCAAAATTGAAAAATCAGAAAACTATCAAATTTTTAAAAATGATAGTAAGATTTGGACATTTCACCAAAGATATACAGATGCAAAATAAGCACATCAAAAGATGCATTAGGAAAATGCAACTTAAAACTACAGTGAGATACTACTACTCATCTATTAGAAAGAATACAATTTAATAAAGATGGACAATACCAAGGGCTAACAAGGATGGCGAACACCTGGAATTCATCTATTGCTGGTAGAAATGCAAAATGGCACAGCCACTTTAGAAAATAGTTTGGTAATTTCTTATAAAGTTAAACACACATCTACCATATGACCCAGCGATCTTACTCCTAGGTATTGACTCAAATGAAATGAAAACTTATGCTCACACAAAAGCCTGTATACAAATGTTGACCCCCGTTATCTGTGGGGGATTGGTTCCACGACAACCCCAACCCACAGCAGATAAAAAAATCCATGGATACTCAAGTCCCTTATATAAAATGGCAGAGTATCTGCAAATACCCTACACACATCCTCCCCTATATTGAAACTTTAAGTCCTGTCTAGATTACTTATAATAGTATAATGAAAATGCTATGTAAATAGTTGCTATAGTGTATTGTTTAGGGAATAATGAAAAGAACAAAAGTCTGTCTGTACATCTTCAGTACAGGCGCAACCATCCATTATTTTCCCCAATCCACAGTTGGTTGAATCTGCAAATGTGGGACCCACGAATACAGAGGGCCAACTGTACAGTGTCTTAATTGCCAAAAACTGAAAACAATCTAAATGTTCTTTACATGGTGAGTGAATAAACCATGGAATATGCATATAATGGACTATTACTCAGCACTAAAAAAGAATGAACTACTGGTGAATGAATCTCAAATGCATTATGCTAAAAAAAGAAGCCACACTCAAAAGGTTAAAGTGTGGATGACTATAGGACATTCTCGAAACGGCAGCACTAGTGTTTATTCCTAGCGTTTATTTATTTTTGGCTACAGTAAAGGATAATGGGTGATTCATAAGAAACCTAATGATTTTTGGACATTTTAAAACTAATCGCCTTATGAAATCGCCATTTCACTCTCCTTAATCCCTTCAATCTGTGTGCCCTCACCCTCTTTTCGTTTTCCTCATACTACTCAATATTGTCTTTATTTGTATGCTGTCTCCCCAGTAAGAACAGTTCTTTTTTTTTTTTTTTTTTTTTTTTGAGACAGAGTTTTGCTCTTGTCACCCAGGCTGCAGTGCAATGGCGTGATCTCCGCTCACTGCAACCTCCGCCTCCCGGGTTCAAGCGATTCTCCTGCCTCAGCCTCCCAAGTAGCTGGGATTACAGGAATTCGCCACCACACCCGGCTAATTTTGTATTTTTAGTAGAGACAGTTTTCTCCATATTGGTCAGGCTGGTCTTGAACTCCCAACCTCAGGTGATCCGCCTGCCTTGGCCTCCCAAAGTGCTGGGATTACAGGCATGAGTCACCAAGCCCGGCCCAAGAACAGTTGTTTAACGGTGTCAGTGCAAGGGTTTTACCATATCTTACAGCTTCACAGGGTGGTGAGGAGGGATAGTTCCTACTGTCTATATCTCTACATCAGAAGATTCAATACAAAGATCCAAGACAACTATAAATCACTATTAAATGTTCCTTTTCCTGACATAAAATAATGCTCTTTGTCCTTGTTTTGGCTTTGAGGTCTACTTTAGGCTGAAGTGACTTTAGACTATGCTTTCTTTTTGTATGTATTTGGCTGAGGTATCTGCCCAGTCTTGTACTTTTATTATTTTGCTACTTTGAGATGTCTTTCTTGTAAATGGCATATGAGTGTATTAGGCTCTCTTTTATTTACAGGGGTGTTAAAAGTACTTATGTTTATTGTTATAAGTGCTATATTTGGTGTTACATATTTTCTGACTTTTTTTTTTTTTTTTTGAGACAGAGTCTCACTCTGTTACCCAAGCTGGAGTGCAGTGGCGCGATCTTGGCTCACTGAAATCTCCGCCTCCCAGGTTCAAGTGATTCTCGTGCCTCAGCCTCCTGAGCAGCTGGGATTACAGGCATGAGTTACCACGCCCAGCTAATTCTTTTCTATTTTGAGTAGAGATGGGGTTTTCACCATGTTGGCCAGGCTGGTCTCGACTCCTGACCTCAGGTGATCCACCTGCCTCAGCCTCCCAAGCTGGGATTATGGGCGTAAGCCACTGTGCCTGGCCCATTTTCTGACTTTTTAAAGCCTTCCTTGATGTTTCTTTTATAGAATGGCTTGTTTTCCTTGCTTTTATTTCTCCTAATGTAGGAAACTTGTATCCAGTTTCGAAGTCCTTCAACTTGCTTTCTCAAGGTTCACATTTTGATGTGTAGCAACCTTATTCTTAAAATGCTTATTCTTAAAAGGGAGGGGGAGTAGGAGGGAGGGGGAGTAGGAGGGAGGGGGAGTAGGAGGGAGGGGGAGTAGGTCTACCTGTTACCCTCACAAGATCACTCAGTAGTCCTAACATCTTTTCAAGGTGGCTGCTTGCCATTTCACTGTATGGATGAGCCATCCTCTAATTAATTACTTATTGATATAATAATTGGTTGTTTCCAGTGTTTCTCAGGAAGCTACCAGAGGTTATCCTCTATCCAAAAATTTTAACAGCATATGAGATCCATAAATTAATACAACCAAGGAAAGAAGCAAAAGGAATTTCTAGATTACGTAAGGGCAAAGGCAAGTCTAAAGAAACAAGCACGAACTGGAGGAGGATAACAGGCTTTGGGAGGTGCGTCGTCAAGGGGGAAAGACCCTGAGAAATTACTTGATGCACTTGTGTCTACTGAAAGAGGATGTGTAGTTCAAATTGATGTAGGTGATTGCAAAACTACCCTAGTCCCCAAAATGGGAAAAATACTAACCACAAAGAAAACAAATTATATAAGAAAGGAAATGTAATCATAGGATAATAATTAAAATGTTGAATGTTAAAATGTAAAATGTTGATTGAACTTCTATCAGGAAGATATGGGGAGGGTTTAGATGAGTATAAAAACTCTTCTTCCATAATAGGCAGTCTAAAGATAGAAAGACAAGAAAGAAAGAAAAGAAAGGAGAAGAAAAGAAAGAAAGAGAAGAAAGAAAGAAAAAGAATATCATAGGCTTCTTACTTATTAATAATTATTTATATACTTATATACTTATTTATATATGTACATATGTAAGAAGAAATTCCTAAAGAGGGAATCCAGAATAGTTAGGGTATCTCCAGTTTTATGTCTTATTCTACTGTGTATTTCTGTTTTTTAAAACTATCTTTATATGTTGCCTTAATTAAAAAGTAAAACATAATTTAAGCATTCAAATTTCTTTGACAAATTCTGATCTTGATGCTATATAGTTTACTCATTTTTTTTTTTTTGAGATGGAGTCTCACTGTCGCCTGTGCTAGAATGCAATGGTGCAATCTCAGCTCACTGCAACCTCTGCCTCCCAGGTTCAAGGGATTCTCCTTGTCTCAGTCTCCCAAGTAGCTGGGATTACAGGTGCCCGCCACCAGGCCCGGCTAATTTTTTTTTTGTATTTTTAGTAGAGACGGGGTTTCACTATGTGGGCCAGGCTGGTCTCGAACTCCTGACCTCATGATCCACCCGCCCCAGCCTCCCAAAGTGCTGAGATTACAGGCGTGACCCACTGTGTCCGGCCTACTCTGCATTGTTTAATGGTCTAACCCATTTAGATTACATAGGAAGTACCTAGTCCTTAAGATTTGGTTTGTTTGTTTTTGAGACGGAGTCTCCCTCTGTCACCCAGGCTGGAGTGCAGTGGGCGTGATCTCAGCTCACTGCAAGCTCTGCCTCCCGGGTTCAGGCCATTCTCCTGCCTCAGCCTCCAGAGTAGCTGGGACTACAGTCGCATGCCACCCTAGTCCTTAAGATTTGACAGACCTGACCACTAAAATTGTTTGGGCCTTGTGTCTTGAAGACATAAAGATAGATCTTCAACAATCTCTTCTACTTCTCCCATGGACAATGTTCTGGTTAAGTTTTCCACCTTATTTTGAGTCAATTTTGTCTTTGCTTATGGTGTTCTATATACTCTTTGTCATTTCTGGTAGTTCTGTCTTCTTGATCACACTTGCCAAACATTTGTCTAGTCTGTCTTTTCGTGGGACCAGCTCTTAGTTGTACTTACCAGTTCTAGGAGAAAATGTTCTTTGTTCCAATCCACTTATCTCTTCCTACATTTTCCCTCTTGTTTTGGTTCATTTCATTGTACTTTTAAGTACCTTTTTTATTATGAAATGACACACAGAAAAAAAGCAATGTACAGCTCAATAAATTAGCAAAAAATTGTCTATTATCTATTTTGCTGAATACAAACTTTAATTTGTCTATAAATCTTTCTTTCCTAATGAAAACGTTTAGAGCCATGAACTATTTCTTAAAAGTGGCTTTTGCCATAACTCACAAAATTTTTATATGTAGCATTTTGTACCTTTTTTTTTTTTTTGAGACGGGGTCTTGCTCTGTTGCCCAGGCTGGAGTGCAGTGGCATGATCTCAGTTCACTGCAACCTCCACCTCCCAGGCTCAAGCAATCTTCCCACCTCAGCCTCCTGAGTAGCTAGGACTATAGAAGCATGCCACCACATCTGGCTAATTTTTTTATTTTTCGTAGAGCTGGGGGTTCACCATGTTGCCCAGGCTGGTCTTGAACTCCTGAGCTCAAGTGATCTGCCCACCTTGGCCTCCCAAAGTCCTGAGATTACAGGCGTGAGCCATGGTGCCCAGCCTGTTGTAGTGATTTCTAAAGAATCTGTAAGTTTTGATTTCCTCTTTTACCAAAAGCCACATAGATGAGTGATTAATAACAAAACATTCATACTCATTAAACACACTCCCACAAACACTAACCCATTTGGAAATCTTTTTATTGCTAATATCTTGTCTTATTGCACTGTGGTCAGAGAATGTAGCCTGTGATTTCTTCTTTCAGGAACTGAGATTTTTATTGGTGGCCTGCTATATGGAATAGACACCACATTTGTAAATGTGCTTTCTGCTTGCATACATACATTTTTCAATATAAGCTTGCTAAGTTGTATTAAATCACATTCTTTAATATTCTTTTTTTCCCTACTTAATATGTCAAATTCTGAGAGAAGCATATTAAAACTCCCTCTATAACTGTGGTTCACATTCTCCTTACATTTCCAATAGCAACTGTTTTAAATATTTGATGCAATGTCAGTGATGTACATGTAAGTATTATCTGTCTCTCCTAGATGACTACATCACACTATTTCTATCTTAAACCACCAATCTCTCCTCCCTCCTCCTCACTCTCAGCTGAAACCCTGCTTCATTTTCACAAGCTCCTGCCAGCAACCATATCTGCCTACCCATCTGCAACACTGTTTTGAAAAATCTGGCTGTAAAAGGAAGGTGGAAGGAACTAACTTTCTTATTTAAAGTAACGGGTAAAACTTTAGCTAATAGGGAAAATTTATTGCTAATGTTAGGAGCCTATAAAAAGAGAAGCAGAAGATACAGTCACAACCCAGAATAATCAACACCATGAGATTCTTAAGAAGGTTAAGAGGATGTGATCAGCATCAGAGGTGAAGGACTAGGTAAGACCAGCCTTTGACAGGAGTAGACACAAGAGATAATGATCTGTTCATCTAGCTGGGGCAGTTTCTCTGCAGTGCCTCTGTGGAATGGGAAACAAGCCATCAGCCAGGGAGTAGAGGGGCAAGGAGGGACCCAGAGATCTGGAGCCTGCAGAGGTTTGAAATAGTCATTATGGAGAGTGGGAGGACCAAGGTAGGATTAGCAAGAGTTGAGTGTAGAATCAGGGCTCACGGTCAGGAAATTACAGTGGTATTTATCTGTTCCATTATGTGAGCATAACTCCAGAAGCATCAGCAACCCAAGTAACAGCATTAAAAGAGACAAATATCTTGATTCATCCAGCGTGAGTTTTACCAAACAAGAATAACCAATGAACAACGGGACAAGGGAGGGGTTTAGGAAATGGGTAGAAGATGGCCATGAAATCTAAATTATACAAGGCAGAAAGTGAAGGGTGTTGTTAACATATAGGGGGAAAGTAAAACAAGTAATGGGCTGGGGATCCACATGAAGTCAAAGAACACATTTAGGAGATTGGACTCTCTTCTCCTAAGAAGTCCAATCTTCTTGATTGGACTACCAATATGGAAGGATGCTGCATTAGAACTACTGAAACATTATCTGAAAAGTCAGTTAATTCTAAAAGATGGCAAAGTCTAGAGCATCACCATAGATGTTGGTGGCATAAGTGAGAGACGGAGGAATTCATATGAAGGACCTTACGATCAAGGGACTTGACTGTTCATTAAAAACTATGAAGTAACACAGGGCAATGGCAAGGCTTGAGGCAGAGAGGAAACAACGTGCTGGGGCCCATCATGGAGTGAGAGAGGAACCAAGAAGAAAGCTGCTGAAAGTAATGAGTGGTGATGGAGGTGCGGCTTTTCCAAGGCAGTAAAGGAGTAATGGTTTAGCAGACACATAGACACAGTGTTAGTAAGGACACTAACCCTATCTCCCAGTGCATAGGATTTGAGTGATGGAGCACTCTTCACTAAATGGACTCATACCCCGTATGTGGGGGAAAGCCAAGTCTCGGTTAAAGCTTGAAGGAAAAGAAAATATTCACTGAAGATACTAAACATACAGAAAGTTTGCACATCAGAGAGTGGGAGTTACCTAAGGCAAAAATGAAAAGGGAGTATTATGGAAATGAAAACATGACTGGAAACACAGTGAATTTCATTCCAGGATTCCATGAAGATGGTGGACTCTCATGTCTTAAATTTTCATTGTGGCCTAAAAAAGTGGCCCCTGCAGGTATTGTTACAGCAAGCAAAACTTTCCTTTCCATCTACCCAGGTCAACCGGGGTTGGTAGCAGTGTTGGTTGCCTGCTGCTGAATGGAAGCTACCTGGGGTGGAACTGGGCTGGTGAGGCATCAGGAACAAAGGAAGACAAGCCACAAGGTGGTGAGCCTCACTGTGGGTACTCCTAGGTGACCTCAGATGATTATGTGCAAGGTAGAGGCCTCGGTGTTCCTAAATTCAGTTCCTAACACACAGTGTTGCAAATGAGAAGCCCGATGCTACTGACTCCCTTTCCATGTCATGTTGCCCTATCCACCAAGGTATGCAAGATGAAGCGTATCTCCTTTCACTATTTCCACCCAGCACTTTTATCTGAACACCTGAGTGTGTCTTTAGTTCAGGTGACCTTTTTCAAAAATATCACTTTTTTCATGGAACCCAAGAATCTACAAATACATTCCATGTTTCCTACTCCTTCTCTCATAAGCACCATCTGATTCTTTTTGGTCTCCATTCTAGTCTTCAAATCTACTGCTCTAGTTTCCAATTCTGTCTAATCTACCATTCCATGCTTTTAATGAATGTATGATTTTTTGCAGTCAAGTTTACGTCTAAGAACTCTGCTTTCATTCATTCATTCAACAAATATTTATTAAGCAACTACTATGTGCCAGGCACACAACTGCATTTTGATACAGTATCCCCTAAAATCCAATTTAAAAAAAATTAAGCTAGCTTCCTGCTTTTTCACATAAAAAGCAAAAACTTTTGAATATTTTTTATTAATACACTTAAAGATGTGGGATGTGTGACCAAAAAGTTTGTGCATGATATGAAACTAGGAAGGATGATAAATACATTTCATGCAAGAAACAGAATCTTTTTTTTTTTTTTTTGAGACGGAGTCTCGTTCTTTCGCCCAGGCCGGACCACAGTGTCACGATCTCGGCTCACTGCAAACTGCGCCTCCCGGGTTCACGCCATTCTCCCGCCTCAGCCTCCCGAGTAGCTGGGACTACAGGCGCGTGCTGCCACGCCCGGCTAATTTTTTGTATTTTCTTTAATACAGACGGGGTTTCACCGTGTTAGCCAGGATGATCTCGATCTCCTGACCTCGTGATCCGCTGGCCTCAGCCTCCCAAAGTGCTGGGATTATAGGCGTGAGCCACCGTGCCCGGCCAAGAAACAGAATCTTAAAAGCTCTTGGCAGCTTGGATGGGGAATTGAATCTAAAATGATAGATCAGTGGGGCCACGTGCTCTGAATTCTCCACACGGTCCTTGGTCAGGCTACTGATCCTCTTCTTAGGTCCAGTGACACTTAGCTATCCATTCACATTTGTAATTGAAGACCTAGATTGATTGGCATTGGTAGCCGGTGTGAGCTTTACCAGCAATGCTGCATATGCTAATGTCTGACTAGCCCTGCAGATGCCCCCTCAATTATGTTGTGTAGTAGATCAGCAGGTAGCCCCCTACTTACAAAATCAAATACAAAGGGAAATTGTTTAGAGTGGGTTGTTTTCATTTTCTGTATCAAACTTTTAAATTTTTATGTAATCAAAACTATCATCAACTAATTCCTTTTAACTTTCACATGGAGGTTTATTATTGTGGATAAGAATGTGTCACACTGCCTGGTTTTGAATCCTAGCTTGTATTTTTCACTATATACACTTTGTTGGTCAAGTTATTTATTTAACTTTCTTGTGCCTTGGTAAAATAGGGATAGTAATTCTATTTACTTTACAAGCTTGTCATTAACTAAATAAGACACAAAGCCTTTACCCAGTGCTTGACACACAGTAATTTTCAATAAATGTTTATTCTAGCACTAAAAATGATATTAATAATATGATATGCTGATAAGCCACATCTGCCTCATATCTTCCTCATTCTGTTTACTAAAGAGGAGTTTTCACCAGCAAAGCCACAGAGCCAACAATTCTTCCTCATACTGTATCCATACAGCTGGTCTGGGAACCCACTAATGGGATATAATGTTTATCCCTGTTAACTATTATGTTAGATTCAACTCCTCATTCAACCTGTCAAGAGATTTTTAAATCCTGTTTCTTTTCATCAAATGTATCATTATCCCTCCCAGTTTCATGCCATTGACAAATTTTACAGGAATGCATCCCACCTCTTCAAGTATGCTGATAAAAATATTAAAAGGGGGCACACACCCTTTGGTGCACATCCGGATAGATCTGGTCAACCTCAGTCATTAATCAGTCATTAATCAATATACTCACATTGTTTTCAGACTGTTCTCTTAACATATTTTAAGCTCAAGGATTGGTTTAAAGGTTTCCCTTTTAAAAAATTAGAATGATACATGTGAGCCTGTCCCCATCTTTCTGGAAACTCCCCTTCTATAGAATACATCAAAGACCAGAGGGTCAACAATCTCAATTGTGAGATGTTATCTGTTTAAATGAGGAACAATATGGGCTTAATCAGAGAAAGAGAGCGCTTTCTTCTGTTTCTTCTCCCACATATGGCACAGTTTGCTCACTAATACAAACACTCTTCTGCATCTAAAGATCATTCTTCTTAACAGAGACAGAACCAAAAACAAAAAGAGTGGATGATTCTTCATTCTCCATCTCTAACAGCAATTTTTCACAGTCCTAGCCATTTCTTAGTATTCCCTAAGAATACTAAGAAATTGTATTGAACTCCAAAAAAAGATTATTAAATTTAATCTTTCTTTAAAAGCCTAAGCTCATTTTTAAATTACAAAACTGTCCTTACCAACTTATGTATGACACTATTCTAGTCTTGAAGCACCTCCTGTTTGCCCTGGAAGATCTGGTATATAATAAGTATCCAAACAAAAACTAGAAGTAGGACGTGGGTATTGTACTTTATTAATTCCTTCACACTATCCTTCAGACCTGATCACCAAAAAGAACTTGCCATGACCTGCAATTTGATGAAAAGTGGGTGCAGCACAGCCCGTTTTCTGAAGATTGTGGAACGATTTTATAAGAACCTTATGCTTTTTATTAAAACTTATAGAATTTAGTAACAAAAAATACATTAAAAAGGAGAGAGAGGGAGAGTTATTACAGAAGATTGGGTTTTCACGTAGCACCAGGAACTCCCATGTTTAAATGAAGTCTTGTAGAGCAATAATATTAATTGCATTCAAAACCACTACATTCCGGTCTTTTAAAAATGTCCCTCCATAAATCACTGTGTCTAAAGCCAGGGTTCAAATGAATGACTCCTCAAATTTATATTCATTCTGATCCAAAGGAATACAATCAAAATCAACCAACTTAACACATGCTTTTTAACTTTTATTGTCACCCTTTTACATGCATTTAAATCACAAATAATACTTTACAATTTTTCTTTCCCCAGTGCAGCATCTACCTTTCCTATTATTCTTCCTATTGGTTTTAAAACCTAATATAATGAGCTTTGGTTAGACCGCCTTGTGGTGGGAATCAAATGTATATGAAAACTAGATGCTTTTTAACATACAAATTTATGAGGTATTGTTTTAGAGCAACAAACATACTTATCATACTTACAGAAAATGGCTGTGTTGTCTGTTTTAATCTTAAAAACTCAATTTTTCTACAATAAACATTACTTTTTTATTAATTTTAAAAAAATAAAATTTAACTTTTGTAGAATACATTGAGACATTAAAAAACAGTAAATTACATTTAAGAAATTCTGAGCATTTAGTATTCAAATATTTCCAATTACCTTGAAGCATGCATCTGTAAGCAGATTCAGATATAGCATAGATGTGTGGAGGCATCTCATGACGCTTCTTCCCTCTGTACATTTCAATAATATTCTCAGAGTAAATTGGAAGATTCTTGTAAGGGTTTATAACTACACAGAAGAGTCCAGAATAAGTCTAGAATAAAAATAAAATAGAGTATTAAAAAAAAAACCTCTGCATTTATCAATCAGGGTCCAATCAGGAGACAGAAACCAAAGAGTCATTTAAGCAGGAGATCTTTACCTTTTGGATAATTAATCTATCCCCCAAATTAAACTTAGCCTATAATGGGCAATTTAGTACTATGAACCACAAGTAGTTCTCCCACAGATAGCTTATTAAGTGGCACTCTGCTGGACTCAATTTCCTCATCCATGAAGTAGAAATAATGCGAGCTTCCTGACTTCACGTGGCTATCATAAGGTACAATCAATATGTTATTTACTTTTTTACATTCATTCTCTCATGAGTACACAAGCTATGAAAAGCTCGTTAATGCAGTTTCAGATTCCATATTGCAATTAATCTTTAAGAAAATAGCATTTGTCCAGTTTGGGTACAGTATCAAAGAAGAATATCCACAATTATCTAAAAAGGGTATTAAAATACTCTTCTTGGCCAGGCACGGTGGCTCACGCCTGTAATCCCAGCACTTTGAGAGGCCGAGGAGGGTGGATCACAAGGTCAGGAGTTCAAGACTAGCCTGGCCAAGATGGTGAAACCCTGTCTCTACTAAAAATACAAAAATTAGCCGGGCACAGTGGCAGGCGCCTGTAATCCCAGCTACTCAGGAGGCTGAGGTAGGAAAATCGCCTGAACCCCAGGGGGCAGAGGCTGCAGTAAGCCTAGATCGCATCACTGTACTCCAGCCTGGGTAAGAAAGTGAGACTCCATCACAAACAAACAAACAAACAAACAAACAAAAGAAAAACCACTCTTCTTTTTTTCCAACTAAATATCTCCATGGCTGGATTTTCTTCATATGCCTTACCCAAAATGACATGTTATAAGAAAACAGAATGCAAAAGCAGATATGAGATTCCAGCTATGTTTGGTTAATACTAAAGAGATTTGTAAAAATGTAAGAGTTTTCATCTGTCTAATTTTTTTTTGTTTTGGAAAATACAGGGATTTTTTTTTCTTAAAAATGTATTTACTTATGTTAACTTGTCATGATTAACTACTATTCTTTTTAAATGAATTAATAAAGATTTAAAATGTATTTTAATTACTGATACAGTAAATATCAATAAACATAAGCCAAATAAACAAAAGCTCTTTGGGATGGATCTTCAGTAAATAAAAGCTGCTAGGCTAGAAAATACAAACTTTTCCTGATCAATACTATCAATTACACAGAATTGACCCTATGAATGCTTATGACTTGCGGGTTTTTTAAATGTAGACAGAATGATTTCTGAGAATATTCTACAAAACTGATTCTGGGCACTACGGAAAAACAAGAGCAGTCAGAACCGCTGACAGATGCTCTAACCCTCTAAGGGACTGAAGGCATCTGGAAGGGCACTCAGTTGCATTATGAAACAGATCTTTTATTTGAGGTGATTTGGGTAGACCAAAATCTAAAAGCAAGAGGACATGAAAAAAGGCTGGAGAATTGGTACTGTATGGCCAGCTTCCCCAGGGAACACTAAGGGGGATTCTAACTAACAGCCGTGTTCATAAGAGCTGAAACCCCCAGCAATTGCCACCAGAAAGCTCTCCAGAGACTACTCTGTTTACTAATGCTAAACCAAGAGAATGAAAGCCTGCCAAAAAATTTCAAGTGATCAGAACTGTCTCTCTGGCTGCCCGCCTTGTATTTTCCTGAACTCACAATTGCAGGCTCAGATGTGGAACGCACTTCCTACTTAGGTTAGCAGTTTAGAAGGGGCAAAGGGCCCTTATCCTAAATTCAGATTTGGGCTGTTTGCTGAAGCCTTACTACTGAGCAGACCAGGAGGTTATCTGTTCGTTCTTTGCCTGAGACTGTACTAATTACTATAGACTCCTCAAGTCTTCAGACTCTTGGCCTTCTTGTATGCAAAGTACAGACCTGGCAAACCCTGGCTGGCCCTTGGGGTTCCCAGACCAACACCTTGCACTTTCTCCCAATCAAGTCTCTTGTCTATCTAGTCCCGTATTTCTTTGCTGCCCACAGGACAAAAGGGCAATGAGGAACAATAAAAATAAAGGCTTTATTAAGGCTGAGAAAAACAAAGGAGAGGCAACCTCAATACCTTTTTAGGAGTTTAATTTATATAACGTTAACAAATCGCAACCATACATTGATGAATTTTTGTACAACCACCCTCACTTTTTCATTCAAAAATGAGATCACAGTCTATAAGGAAGCTACAGATTATACTCTTCAATTTTATAAAAGGCATGTAATTAGAGACTAGAAAGTAAAAAAGCTCCAAGAAAACGAAAATACACAAATTCAGTTTAGTGTCCCATAGCACGTATGGCATGGTAACAGATAATAACTGACACATTTAATCAGAAGTAATTCCAACATGTGTGTCTACCATGCATTAGGTACTTACCTGAGGACTACAATAAGAGAGAATAAGTCTCACAAATATGAGTTCATCATCAAAAATATAAAAGGTTAACTAATCATCAGTATCCCATGCTTGCCAAAATGGAGCAGTAATCAATGCTTAAGAAGGAACATTATTAAAGTGCTTAAAGAGCTAACTTCTAACTACCTAAAAAATTAGCACAAGTATTGAGCTCTTGTATAAACTGATCACTGAATAGATACTGCACCAGTTCTGTCTTCCCCCAGACACATGGTAGGAAGGCAATATGTTGTTAAAATTATTCTGGAGACCTTAAAGTTCAAATGAACTTAACTAAGTATTTGAATACACACAGAAGATACTAAGCTTCTTTAAGAAACATACACTCTGGGCATGAAGACAAATAGACGCACACTAAACAAGCTACAATGCAAAGCACCAAAAAGAGAAAGAGAAAGATGAACTGGTATTATAAATAACAGAAAGCTCTGGGGCAGAACACAACAAACCCCAGGCACTGAAAGTCATGACCACCTTGTCAGAGACTGTAGAACAAGGTAAAAAATGCAGACCCAAATGGTCTTTGATGTTCTTTTTAAAGACTATGGGGTCAAAAGGAGAGATAAAGGAATTCCTATTAAAGTAGTAAAAGCACAAAACTCTTACAGTGGCAGGATATACTCGAGGCAGTGCGAGAAGACCAGCATAGCAAAAATAGTTTGTACCATGGAATGTGAGCGACAAGGGCCTAAAAAAACAAACTGAACAATTCGGATTTTGTCATCTATGGGTGATGAGGTATTGAAGGTTCAGGAGAGAAAAGTGATTGGATGAAATAAGCATTTCAGACAAAGTACAAATCTGGCAGCCATACGGAGAACACATTGAAGGGGCAAAAGGTGAGAAGCAGGAAGACACGTGGAGACTGCTCAACGGTCCTTGGCACAACAGGGCCTAGATGACAGAAAAGGCAACACAAAACAGAGAAGGCCGGGACTTCACAGTGCTCAGAAACTTTCAACACAGAAAAGCCATTAAAGACCGAAGTCAAAGAGGACTCCAAGGTCTCCAGGCCTTACAGAAACATTATTCGTGGAAGGAAAAACAACTGATTTGTGGGAAAAGATAACAAATCCCTTTAATGTACTGACACTGTGGTATGGTGGGTGAGCCAAGCAGGATGCCTCTTGGGCAGCTGGAAATATTGGATTGCCAGAGCCTTGGGAAAATCCTGAAGAGCTGCAAAGGCCTGAAAGGTTAAGTTTGCATAATAACACTACTGTATACTTTACCTAAGGGAGACATACAAAAATATTTGCAGTTGGAAACATTTACAAATTTTCAAGCCCACTATGCTGCTTTATGCCTCCAGGCTCCCACCTATGCTGACCACTCTGCCTGGAATGCCCATCTTCCTCTGTCTATGATTGGGAAATTTTTTTTTTTTTTTTTTTGAGACGGAGTCTCGCTCTGTCGCCAGGCTGGAGTGCAGTGGCACGATCTCGGCTCACTGCAAGCTCCGCCTCCCGGGCTGACGCCATTCTCCTGCATCAGCCTTCCGCGTAGCTGGGACTACAGGCGCCTGCCACCACGCCCCGCTAATTTTTTTGTATTTTTAGTAGAGACGGGGTTTCACTGTGTTAGCCAGGATGGCCTCGATCCCCTGACCTCGTGATCTGCCCGCCTTGGCCTCCCAAAGTGCTGGGATTACAGGCATGAGCCACCGCGCCCAGCCGATTGGGAAATTTTTCAGCCTGGAAGTGCCCGGCCTCTGTTTAAGAAAGCAGGGCTATGTATATGCATTGTTTCATAGGTTCAAAGGATTAGAGAAACAGGAAGTGTAGGCTGGTGCAAATGTCAACGCAATGGAGCAGAGATACAATAGTCTCCTACTACGAACAGGGATTGAACTGGGAATATCATGTAACCCTACATCCCAACTGTAGCTCTCAGAAGAAATCAGACCACCATCGAGAAGGAAAGGGAGGAAGGAAAGAATAATTCACCCATACCACCTGCAAACACTGCACCTAGTTAAAATTCACATGCAAATTTTGAAAAAAAACCTAAATAATAAGATCATCATTCAGAGGATTCAGAAATAAATTACCTGTGGAAATTATCTATAAAATAACTAAAAGAAAACTTTAGGAGACAGATTTATATCTGTAACAGAATATAGTATAACATAGAGTCTACGTATTAGGACAGAAATGCATAAGAAAAAAAATAGGTGACCAGGGCCAGAAAAGACTGTAAGGAATCATCTGAAAACGTAAAATTAAAATCCACAGTGGAGAAAATAAAGGGCAGAATGGATACCTCAGGAAATCAAGTGATAAGAGCAGACATTTATTATAGGAGAGCATCCTTCTTAAAGAAAAATAGAACAATGGTAAAATAATAAAAGAAAATGACGTTACAAAGGCAAAACTTATCAGTAATAATAATACATAGAGGGCAGAGGAAGGATAACTAACATTAGTTGCTATTGCTTCTTTGAGAGAAAATAGCAAAAACACTCTGTAAAAAAAAAAAACTTGAGAAAACTGTGTGTGTGGAGGAATACACATTGAATTAAAAGGAATTCGCTAAGCTAACAAACGCAGAAGGAATAATGGCACTGGACTCACCATTTTGCAGCTCCCAGTGCCACAGTGGATCTGCACAATGCCCATCACTATTAAAATTTTTAGGTGACTGGCAGATGAGGCCACTCCTCATGCACAAACCAGGCTGGCAAAACCTAAAATGACTCACTACTGATCAATCTCAACATCATAAAGTGAGAGACAATGTAGCATTAAGTGTCTCCTGAATCTGAATCCGTTTAAGCCTCTGGATCCAATTTATGGATTTTTCTCCTTCCAGTTTATAGGGAGCACCATAGGATTGCAAAAAAAAAAAAAAAAAAAAAGGGTTGGGGGAAGCGGCCGGGCATGGTAGCTCATGCTTGTAACCCCAGCACTTTGGGAAGCCACGGTGGGAAGATCACTTGAGCTCAGGAGTTCAAGACTAGCCTGGGCAATATAGTGAGACCCCTATCTCCAGAAGCAAAAAAAAATAAAAAATAAATAAAAATAAATAAAAAGAGGGGAGAGAAAGAGATTAAAAGTGATATAACAATTGCTATGCTTTGACTGTGTCCCCACAAAAGCATGTGCTGGAAATTTAATCCCCAGTGCAACAATGTTGGGAGGTGAGGCCTATTGAGAGGTGCTTAGATAATGAGGGCTCCACCTTCATCAATGGATTAATGCCAATTATAAAAGGGCTTGTGGCTATAAATTCTATCTCTTGCTCTCTCTTGAGCATGCTCTTCTTGCCCTTCCGCCTTCTCCCATGGAATGATGCCGCAAGAAGGCCCCACCAGATGCAGCCCCTTGACCTTGGACTTCCCAGCCTCTAGAACCATAAGCCAAATAAACTTCTCTTGTTTATAAATCATACAATCTGTGTTATTTTGTTATAGCAACACAAAACAGACTAAGCAACCAATCTCAATATGTCAACCTTGTTTGGATCCTGAATTGTACAGACCAACTATTTATGAGATTATTTATGAGACAAAAGGAAAATAAGAAAAGTAACTGAATATTTGATGATTAGAGAATTGTTATTTCTTTCTTAGATAGATAATAGTTATGCATCCCAAAACCCGTTGCTGAGAAGATGCTAAGCAGAGCTTTCAGCAGCACAAAAGTCTAAGAGAACAAAAATTAAAACATTCCAGTCTACTCAGGAAGAGGTTGGTGTGGCGGTGGTAAATACCCCAAGCTTTCAGCTGGGACCCTGATGGCTACACCCTAAGAGTTAAGACTATATGAGAAACAGACCAGCCCTCACACAGCGTGAAGCCCAGTTGGAACAGAAGTCAACTCCTGCATGGACTACATGTCCTAGTTTCCCTAAGCCTGCCTGCCCAAAGCAAAACTCTAGAATAAGCTTAATGCCAGCCAGAGTCTCAAACTATTTCCACAATTCCTTGTACACAATAACTGGGCATATGAGGCAACAAGTTGTGGCTGAAATCCAAGATAATATCTGGAACCTCTGTGTGTCTATTTTTATTGACTTGTATTATTGCCCTGGGTTACAATATGTTCAAGTAATTAAAGACGTGACTGAGAATTCTGACAGAGAACTGGAAACTATTAAAGGAAAAACCCAAATGAAAATTCTAAAACTGAAAAACAAAACAAAACAAAACAAAACAAAAAAAGAAAACCAGTAACTACAATTAAGAATTCATGTGTTAAACAGCAAGCTAGATACAGCTGAAGAAACAATTAGTTACACGGCATTTTAATCAGAGGCAAACAGCCAGAGTGATCCATGGGGGAAAAACAAGGATAAAAATGTAGAGGAATGTGAGACCCAGATGGGACGAGGTGAAACGATCTGGAGCATGTGAAGTATGTGAGTCCAAGAAGGAGAAAAAAGAGAATGAGGCAGAAGCAGTATCTGAAGAGATAATGGCTAAGAATTTTCCCGGACCAACAAAAGCCATCAAGCCACAGAGTCAAAACCACTACAATCTCCAAGCTGAATGCAGTAGTGCCCCTTATCTGTGGTTTCACTTTCTGCAGTTTGTTGTCCACAATCAACTGTGGTCCAAAAATATTTGTTGAAAAACTCCAGAAATAAACAGTTCATACATTTTAAATTGTGCACTATTCTGAGTAGTGTGATGAAATCTGGCACAATTCCGCTCCATCGTGCACAGACCGTGAATTATCCCTTCGTCCAGCATCATCATGCTGTACAGCTATTAATCACTTGGTAGCCCTCTCAGATCTCAGATCAACTGTGTTCAAGTCACCTTTATTTTACTTAAGAATAGCCCCAAGCACAAGAGTAGTGATGCTGGCAATTCTGATATGCCAAAGAGAAGCCACAAAGTGCTTCCTTTAAGTGATATGGTAAGTTTTCAACTTAATAACGATAAAATCATATGCTGAGGCTGCTAGGATCTATGGGAAGAATCAATCTTCTATCTGTGAATTTGTGAACTAGGAAAAAGAAATTCATCAAATCATCACAAGAAGAGTACAATAAGATATTCTGAAAGAGGGAGAGAAACCACTTACATAACTTTTATTAAGTATATTGTTTTAATTGCTCTATTTTAATAGTTATTGTTGTTAATCTCCCACCACGCCTAAATTGTAAATTAAATTTTATCATAGGTATGGCCAGGTGCGGTGGCTCACACCTGTAATCGCAGCACTTTGGGAGGCCAAGGAGGGGGCAGATCACGAGGTCAGGAGTTCAAAACCAGCCTGACCAACACGGTGAAACCCCGTCTCTACTAAAAATACCAAAATTAGCCAGGCGTGGTGGCGCACGCCTGTAATCCCCGCTACTCAAGAGGCTGAGGCAGTGGAATTGCTTGAACTGGCAGGTGGAGGTTGCAGTGAGCCGAGATTGCACCGTTGCACTCCAGCCTGGGCTACAGAGGGAGACTCTGTTCTGTCTCAAAAAAAAAAAAAAATTATCATAGGTATGTATGTATAGGAAAAAACATCATATATATATGGTTCAGTACCATTTGTGGTTTCAGGCATCCACTGGGGATCTTAGAATGTATCCCTTGAAGACAAGGAGGACCCACTATATACAAAATAAAACTTTACCTAAGCCCATCACAGTAAAAGTGTTGAAATCCAAAGACAGAGAAAATTTTAGAGACAGCCAGTGGCCGGGGTGGGAAAAGGAAAACCGATGACCTTCAAGGGAACAACAATCAAACTACAAGCTGAATTCTCAACAGAAAAAGACGAAAGGCAGAACCCGATGCAATGGCATTTTCACAATGTTAAAAGAAAACAACCGCCGGCTCTGAATTCCAAATCCAGCAAAAACCAAAAAAACTTCAAAAATAAAGGACGAGTAGATACTTCAGATAAAAGGGGCCCTTTCTAAAAGAACGGAAGCTAAAAGATGTGGAAAAAAAAGAGTAATGGATAAAACTAAATGAATATCGACAGTATTAAAATGTAATATGTGTCTTGTGGGTTTTAAAATATAGAGAGAATTAAACAACAAAAGCACATAAATTAGGAAGGAAGAGGAAATAAATTTGTTCAGGTGCTCTCAGGCCCTACCTATCATGATCTACAAAAGAATAAGAGCTCCACATGTCTAACAGGTCAAGGATCCATGTTGGAATATGTAACCACTAAAAGAATAGCTAAGCAAATAGCAAAAATGGACAGCTAACACGAGGTGAAAAGACAGAATAATAAAAATTATAACCAACGGACAAAAAGATTAAAAAATAAACATAGAGCGGGTAGGATAAAAAGAAAGCAATGAATCAGAGGACAGATTTAAGCTAAAATGTAACAGTCATTACATCACATGTACATAAACTAAATATTCCAGCTGAAAAATATTGTCAGATTTGGGACAAAAATAACCACCATAAGCAGTTTATGAGAGACATATTTTAAAGGCACAGGCACAGAAAAGCTGAAAGTAAGTTAAGAAAGCAATTAACCACACAAACACTAATCCAAAAAAAAAAGGCTAATGCAAATATCAGACTTTGCAAGAAAACAACAGTCAATTTTGCAAGAAAACAACATCACTAAAAATGACCATTCCATGATTTGCCAGAAAGACATCAAATTTCTACATCTGTATATACGTGATAATAGCTTCAGCATGTACACAGCAAAAATGGACAGAACTAAAAAGGAAGGGATTTTCACAGTAACTGAAACAACAGATAATAAAGTATATGTATTTTTCAAGTGCATAATAACCCTTTACCAAATTAATCACATAACGAACCATAAAGCAAGTCTAACAAATATAAAAGAATTGAAATTATTCAGGGCATGTTATTTGACCAAGGGGGGAATCTATTAGAAATAATAAAATAAACCTGAAGATCCCCTAGATTTAGAAAGTAAGCAATTCACTTCTTTTTTTTTTTTTTTTTTTTTTTTTTGAGATGGATTCTCGCTCTGTTGTTCAAGCTGGAGTGGTGCAGTGGTGCAATCTCGGCTCACTGCAGCCTCTGCCTTCCCGGTTCAGGCTATTCTCTGTCCTCAGCCTCCCGAGTAGCTGGGACCACAGGCACACGCCACCACACCTGGCTAATTTTTGTATTTTTAGTAGAGACAGGGTTTCACCATTTTGGCCAGGCTGGTCTTGACACTGGCCTCAAGTGATTCATCCACTTGGGCCTCCCAAAGTGTTAGGATTACAGGCATGAGCCACTGTGCCCAGCCTAAGCAATTCACTTCTAAATTACCCAGAGAGTCAAAGAAAACATCCTCATTAATTTCAACTGAATGCTAATAAAAATGCAACATATTAAAACTTGTAGAATACAGCTACAGCAGTACTTAGAATGAAATTTATGGCTTTTAAAGCACACATATAGAGGACCAACAAAGTCAAAAGTCTATTATTTGCAAAGAATAAAAAAATTGATAAGCCTCTGGTGACACTCATTTTAAAAAAGGGTAATACAAATAAGTTATCAGTATCAGGAATAAAAGAAAACATGACTATTAATCCTACAGAAAATAAGCATATTATGAACAACTTATACCAATAAATTTGAACATTTAGATGAAACAGATAAATTCCTAGACAAACATAATTATCAAAATTGACACAAGGCCAGGAGCAGTGGCTCATGCCTGTAATCCCAACACTTTGGGAGGTCAAAGTGGGTGAATTGCTTGAGTTCAGGGTTTTGAGACAAGACTGGCCAACATGGTGAAATCCCATCTCTATTAAAAAATACAGAAATTAGCCGGGTGTGGTCCCAGCTACTTGGGAGGCTAAGGCAGGAAGATCACATGAGCCCAGGACTTCAAGGCTGCACGAGCTATGATTGCACCAGTGCAATCCAGCCTGGGTGACAGAGTGAGAACCTATCTCAAAAAAAAAAAGAAACACTGATACAAATAAAAATCTGAAAAGTTCTGTATCTATTATAGAAAAACTTTCCCACAAAGAAAACTCTATCATTACTTTAAAAAGAAATAACATCAATCCTAGCCAAACTCTTCCAGAGAACAAAGATGAAACATTTCCCAATTCATTTGATATAACCAGCATAATCTTGATAGCAACATATGACAAAGATATTATAAGAAAGGAAAATTTTAAGTTAATCTCACTGATGAATGAGGATGCAAAAATCCTAAACAAAATACTAGCAAACAGAATCTAGGAATCTCACTCTCTCTTTGTGTACATATAAAGAATATTTGGTCCTTGCAAGGTTAATTTAACACTCAAAAATATGCACAATTCTCCACAATAACAAAATAAGAAGAAAAATCACATTATCATCTCATTGAATAATGGAAAAACATTTGATAAATTAACATTCATTAATTTTTAAAAAATCAACCATTCAGGATAAAAAAATCACCCATTCAGGAATACGAGAAAATCTCCCTTAATCTGATAAAGAATCAGTATTTAAAAAAACACCAACTACAGCAAATATCATTCTTAATGATGAAATGTTGACAGTTTCCCCTCTGAGATCAGGACTGATACAAGGATGCCTCTGATTATCACTTCTGTTCAAAAAACATTGTACTGAAAATTCTAGACAGTGCAATAAAGCAAGTAAAAGAAATGTGTGTCAACTGGCTGGGCATGGTGGCTCACGCCTATAATCCCAACACTTTGGGAGGCTGAGGCAGGCGGATTGCTTTTGCCCAGTAGTTCGAGACCAGCCTGGGCAACATGGCGAAACCCTGTCTCTACAAAAATACAAAAATCAGCCAGGCATGGTGGTACATGCCTATGGTCCCTGCTACTCGGGAGGCTGAGGTGGGAGGATCGCCTGAGCCCAGGAGGTTGAGGCCATAGTAAGCCATGAGTATCCCACTCCACTCCAGCCTGGGTGACAGAGCAAAACTTTGTCTCCAAAAAAAAAAAGTATAAGATTTAGTGAAAAATAAAACTCATTATTTGTGGACAACATGTGTGCTCATAGAAAATCCAACAGAATTTTCGGCTAAACTATAATAACCAATAAGTAAACTTAGGTCACTGAAGATAAAGTCAATATACAAAAATTAATTGTAAAAAATACAGTATTTCTACATAATGATAACAATTATGTACATATTATCTATATACCATATGAATAATAAGGGAAAAATTTAAACACCATTTAAATAATATTCAAATAAAATAAAATACCCAAAAATAAATAACAAAAGATGTACCTGGCCTCTACAAAGAAAACTATAAAACAATATTAATAAAAATTAAGAACTAAATAAATGAGTTTACCCAGGAATTAAAGATAAAATATTATAAAGATCTAATTTCTCTCCCAAACTGATCTACAGAATCAGTAAGATCCCAATCAAAATTTCAACAAGGTTGTGTGTGTAAATGAAAAACTGACAAGCAGATTCTAAAATTATATTGAAATGCTAAGAACTTAACAGCCAAAACAATCCTAAAGAACAAAAAATAGAGGATTTACCACACTAAATACCAAGACACATTATAAAGCTGTAATAAGTAAGAAAATGTGATATTAGCTGAAAGATAGGCACACAGACCCAGGAAATACAACAGAGTCAAAAACATACTTATGAACCCTGATTTATGACTAAGATGCCCCTTCAGAGCAGTGGAGAAAGGATTATGTTTTAGTAAATGGCACTGGGTTAACTGGCTAGCCATATGGAAAAAAAAAAAAGAATCTTGCCCCAACCTCACACCATACACAATATTCAATTCTAGATGGAATTGAGGCTGACCCTAAGAAAAGGATCATCAAATTCCCTTCCCCTCTGGCTTCAAACTGAGTTCAACCAATGGGAGACATCAGCAGGAGACTAAGGGTGAGAAGAGAAGGTCAGGATATTTATGCCCTAGGTTCTCTCCCCACCATGAGCTGCCTTTCATGCCTCTAAGGAAGGCAATTCCTATCAGGTAGCCCTCTCCATATAGGTACCTCTCTGAGTTGAGGCAACAGCTCTTTCCTAATGCTTCTTTAAAGAGCAAGATGTTTCAAGGGCTCTCAGTCATCACTAGTGCTGAGATACTGCACTAGTCCTCATTTATTTTTTAAACCCTACCCACATTATTTGTAAATCTACCCTTTATTAAACTCTCAAATACCTCGTTTGAGAGCCTTCTGTTTCCTTCTGGAACTCCAACTAAATCAGACATTATCTAGAAAAGCTGAAGATATGAGTTACAGATATGCATATCCTATCATCCAGGAATTCCACTCCTAGTTACACACCTTACAGAAAGGCATGCTTACTGTGCACCAAGTACATGTATATGGCTGTTCATTGAAGCAATGATCATAATATTACAAACAGAGAAAAAAACAATGTACAAAACAGTGGAGTAGGCAGATAAATTCATTGGGTCAAAAATATTATGATGGAATACTATATTCCAACAAAAATGAATAAACTACTCAAACTTTTAAAATTTCACAGCCTTTTTGCACTCTTAGAAATTATTAAGGACCCCAAAGACCTTTTGTTTCATATAAAATATAAAGTTTTATAAATATCTATTTATTCTAAAACAATAAATACATTACATGTTAACATAAATAACATTTCTTACGAAAAATAACTTTTCATTTTCCAAAACAAAAGTGAGAAGAATGGCACTGTTTTATATTCTTGCAAAACTTTTATTGTCTGGCTTAATCGAAAACAACTCAATTTTCATGTCTGTTTCTGTATTCAGTCTACTGTAATACGTTGTTTTGGATGAAGCATATGAAGAAAAGCAAAGCAGACTTACAGATATTTAGTTGGAAGAGAGAGGAACGGTTTAACAGTCTTTTCAGATAACCATGGATATTTATCTTTGATACTACTAAAACTTAACATGATAATTTCCTTTTTTCTTTTTTTTTTTTTTGAGATGGAGTTTCGCTCTTGTTGCCCAGGCTGGAGGGCAATGGCACGATCTCAGCTCACTGCAACCTCTGTCTCCTGGGTTGTCCTGCCTCAGCCTCCCAAGTAGCTGGGGCTACAGGCATGTGCCACCATGCCTGACTAATTCTGTATTTTTAGTAGAGACAGGGTTTCTCCATGTTGGTCAGGCTGGTCTCGAACTCCTGACCTCTGGTGATCCGCCTGCCTTGGCCTCCCAAAGTGCTGGGATTACAGGCGTTAGTCACTGCGACTGGCCAACAAGTGATAATTTCTTAAAAATTAGATGTAGTGTAGCATCTGAAACCCTATCAGTGAACTTCTCATATTCCACTGCATCAAAATCTACGGTTTACCTTGCGTATTGAACAAGTCTTTTTACCCATGCATGATTTCATAACACCATACACACATCATCTGGAGAATACTGGCTCACTAAATATGCAAGTCTTTCAAATGATGACATTTTACTGTATGACATCAAAAAAACCCACTTTCATTATTATCACCATCTATCATATCAGAAAGGTTTTTAAGTATTGACATGCTGTCAAGTTCATGGTGCTAGATACAAGTTTCCTAAAATTCTAATTTTCACATAAAAACTCAAATTTTACCATTGGCAACAAATACAGTCGGTTGTTTTCTTTGAAGTGACAGGCTCGTTTTGTTCATTTTCAAGAAAATGTCTGCCAAATACCTCTGTGTGAGTAACCATAGTTTATCAGCCACTCTATCAAATGAAAATAGCATTCTACTTAAAAAGTAGCAAGTTTAGCTTGCAACTCAAATAACTACCCACATGCTCGTCCTCAAGGCAACCATCATACATTGATATGCATCAAAAGTCCTTTAGGCATACTTACCATTTTGTCACACTGAATATTAAAAAGATGTGTTCTCAAAGGTTGAGATTTAATAAAATCAATTATTTTTCCTGCTTTACCAAGGACATTCTTGAGTGAAACTGCATTTTTTTTAAACTGCCAATAAGTGGCAGTGAAGAATAAAATGGTGCTAGTACAGTTTGGTACTAGTACACTGCCTTTATTCATGATAAGGCGTCAGGAGTTTTATTCATCATTGCTTTTGAACCGTCACTACAAATATCAACAGTAAAAAGGGCCGATGACATATTCGTATTGTTATAAAAATAGTTTTGACCTTGTGTGCTCCCCTGAGAGGGTCTCAGGGAAATCCTAGGGGGTCCAGACCACACTTTGGGAACTACTGAGTTACATCAACGTAAAACAGTAAGAATAAATCTTAAAAATGTAATCCTAAGCCAACAACAACAAAAGACACAAAAGGCTACACACTATGAGATTCATTTATATAAAAATTCAAAAACAGGCAAAACTAGGCAGGGCACGGTGGCTCATGCCTGTAATCACAGCACTCTGGGAGGCCAAGGCGGGTGGATCACTTGAGGTCAGGAGTTCAAGACCAGCCTGGCCAACATGGTGAAACCCCATCTCTACTAAAAATACAAAAAAATTATCTGGGTGTGGTGGCTCGAGCCTGTAATCCTAGCTGATAGGGAGGCTGAGGCAGGAGAATCACTTGAACCGGGAGGCGGAGGTTGCGATGAGCCGAGATCGCACCACTACACTCCAGCCTGGGCGACAGAGCAAGACTCTGTCCCAAAAAAAACAAAATCAAAAACAGGCAAAACTAAATTGTCATTTAGGGATGCATACTTCATTGATAAACCACAATGGGAGATTTTTCACACATTTTTCTCAGTAACTGACAAATCAAGCAGACAAAAAGTAGCAAGGCTATGGAAGATATAAACAATACAGTTAAAAAGCTTAATCTAACAGCCATATATTGAACCCTATATCCAACAGTAACAGAATACACATTCTTTGCAAACACAGACCACTCATAAAAGCTGACAATATACTACACAAAAAAGTCTCCTATATGAACAATATTCTGTGATTGAGATGTAATTATTTTAAAAATGAATAATAAAAAGATAACTTAAAAATCAACATTTTGAAATTTTACAAATACACTTTTAAATGGTTCACTAAAGGAATCATCATAGAAATTAGAAAATATTTAGAACTGAAGACTAAATACTACATATAGAAACTTGTGATGTGAGCTAAAACAGTATTAGAGAAGACATTTACAGTTTTTAAACTGTTTTATTAGGAAAGAAGATGAAAATTAATGACCTGAGAAATTGGGGGTCAGAGAGAATAAATCCAAAGAAAAGGTAAGAAAATAAAATAACTAAACCTGTTAGCAAGCTAATTTGTTTAAATAAATTTATGTTATATCTTATCTATAGAAATATGTCCAAAAAAGGTTCTACCCAAATTATTCTAGTATCTATATTATTGAACCTCAACTGATCATCCCAACTGGCTGGTTAATTCCAAAGCCCAATACATATTTATCACAATGCTAGCATGGCTCTCCCCATCCCCATCCTCTTAACGACACAGACTTCTTTGGAGTCAAGTTCTCCAACTAGAACCTTAGGTAAGAACCCTTTCTCCACCCAACTAATTGAAGATATGATCCTCCCAAACCCCGACCTCTGTGTGACCTTGAGACTTTGAGAAAAACTCAGATTCTCCTGTAGAAGGAGGCTGTGCTTTGAAAAGAAACTCAGAAGTTCACTCAGGTTGTCCATGAGTTAAGTTGGAAAAAAATCCAACAAACTCAGTAAGAGATAACTGTAAAATCTCTGAATTATGTGGAATGGCTGCAAAACAAAAACAAAAACAACAAAAAAACACCTGTCCTTTCTTTCATTCCTTTTCTACTTAGCACCCTTTGCAGCTACCTCCAGCTGCCAGTGTGGGAAATTAAGGTGAAGGCTGGCAGAAAAGCAGCCTGGCTCCTCTTCACACTGCACAGTTTTTGATGGTGACATCACATTTCCATACCTGCACAATTTATTGCAATGGGCTTCATCTGAAACTGATCAACCTCTCAAATCTTACATGTCGACATTACAATCTGACCATAACCTCTTAATTTTGCAGTTTTCTCACTCCTTCACCCCATGATCCCTGTTCCTCAACATTCTGAAAACTTCCAGGCCTTGATCCATCAGCCCCTCCCACCCAGACTCCCATTCCTACCGAACGAGGACTCCAAAGACGGCCACTGAATCCCCCTCTCACTGTGGAAGCCATGCAGATCCAAAGCCCCCCACACTCACAGACCTGAGACAATCCCATGGTCTGGCAAAATCACATAGCCAGGCAAAATTGCGGTCACCCTACACGTGGTTATTCAATCTCAGCTGGACTCTCAACGCCACTCTCCAGTCGCTTTCTTATCCCTGGCTTAGTCTGAAATTGGAAAAGGGTTGTTCCTAAGCCTTTCCATTCTCCTCAAGCCACCGTTCCAACCCTGTGGCCTCTTACTCTCCTACCTCATAGAGAAGAAAATAAGGGAGATCTATCAGGCTTGGTTGAAACTACTCTGGCAAAGGTCATGAATGAATCATTCTTTTCTCAGCTTTTCTCGTGGCTAGCTGCCTCCCACCAGTCAGACTCCAGCTCAAATGCTACCTTCACAAACAGCCCTTAACTGACCCGCTGGAGAAAGCCATTCTCCTACTTACTCTCTCCATAGCCTTGTTTCATTTCCTCATTGGACATTTCAGAAAGGCAGAGAGACCTGGCCTGTCTTCTTCACTGTACTATCCCCAGCACCTAGAGCACAGGGGGTGCTTAATAAATATTCCTTAAACTAATTCTGTAGGAAAACTAGCTCTGATTTACTGAAGTTTTGAATTATTCATGACCTTCAGTAGCACACTCCTTGTGTAAAATTCAACACCCCTTTTCCGATTTCAAACCACGACCATCAACTTTTCTTCCTACTTCCCTTCATCGTCAGTTTAAGTCCCACACGTGCCACCTTCTTCAAATCATTGCCACCTCTGTCTACCATTCCCTCAAACCTATTTTGTCATTTTAGATTTTTCTTTTAGTATCTGGCTTACATTTTTCCTCTCTACATTATCCCTCTCTACATTATCCCTTATGATTTTCAATAACTTCTTCTACATGGTCAGTGACAAAGTCGGTGACTCCAACATTCATGTCAGCTGCTAACCACAGGACGACCCCAGCCAGCCTCAATCTTACCCTAATTGTTTCCTCTTAAAAACCTCAGCATTCATCTTTCCTACTTCCCTACTACATCCAGTGAAGCTGTTCATGCTGTCCACAGAAATTTCTCAGCTTACAGCCCCTCCACTTTACTCTTGGGTATGCACTTGATTTTTGACCGTTTTGCTGTCTGCGTCCAATTAATGCAACTCTCTTTACCTTATTAAACCTTCTGGTCTTCCTGTTACATGCTCTCTCCCACCTTATTATGCTCCAGAAGACCACTACAAAAGTCTTCAAATGCCATTTTATTATATGTAATTGCAGCCTGTATTATTTAAACTTAATGTGTTAAGATTCAAAGAAAAGCAAGACATGGGTAAGCAAGCAACAAATCTTTCTATCTTAAAGAGAAATAGAAATGTTAAACAGAGAGTTTGGGTATTCCACATTCTCATTTGATTATGACAAGATGTATAATTTACATTAATTCCTAGCTACCACTTCACATGATTATTTGGAAGAAATACTTACATAGATTAGTCCTGAATAGTAGCGATCCTTCAGATTATGTAAAACGGAAGCTTCATTCAAGCATGTCAATTCTGCCATATCCTCCACCTTGGAAAACTTAGGTGGGTTCATCTTCTGAATATCATCTTTGTTGACCATTGCTTTCTTTCCATTCTCTGCCAACTCCACCATAACTTCATCTCCCCGTTCTTCTTTGATACTAGCTGCCTCAAAACCATGGCGTTCTGATGGAATCCACACTAGCTTTTTAGCTGTCCAATCAGCTTGAGTGGCAGGGTTGTAGATGACAGCCCTGTCCACAAAGAGATACCTCTCTGGATCCTCGAGTCCAGTTCTCTGCGCCATTGTAAATGGAACGATCCAAAAGCAATTGCCTCTAAGAGAAGAGGAGGAGGGCAAAATTAGATGTTTAAGAAACAAAAGAATGTACACGTTTTTCTTTTCTAAGAAACTTAAAACCTTAGATTAAGCATTAACTCTGTGTTAAGGAGCTGGGGTATACCTCTTCACAGCCATACTAACCGAGTTTCCAAGGTAAATTTCAGCGGTGACCACAAATTATGGCTCTGGTTGTCTGATGGGTTTGCCCTCAGTTACTGAGGGCAAAAAAAAGAAAAGAAAAGAAAAGAAAAGGCAAAGTTACAAGTTGACCCTTTTTTTTCTTTATCTCCTCTTTCACCCTCACCACAAATTAAACAGGGAGTTAAGAAGGGAAAAAAAAAAAGAAAACAAAGATGGGTAATAAAAGGTTCATGAAGTGGTACCAGAATTAATATGACCACAAGGAAACAGCTACAAAAACACATGATTGTCAGAAGAGTAAAGAATCTAAAGAATCTAAAACATGCCTCTCATTCTACCCTCAGATAACAGACTTAAAGTTCTTCTTATGAATAACCCAAATCAGTCTCCCTCTAGCTTTTCTATGGCCCCATGAGGTCTTAATGTGATCAACTGGGACCACAAAAGACAAGCATAACTTGGCTTCACACGGCAGCCTTTTGAATATGTCATGGTAGCAGTTCAGGCCTCTATTCCCATCCTGCAGCTCCTCCACCCCTCATTCACCAAGACTCCTTCCCCTGCCGGATCTCTCGCCTAAACAGACTCCAACATGCTGCTTGTCTTCCCTCTAAAGTGTGTGGCCCAGAAGCAAACATCATAGCCCAGATATGGTCTGACCAGTGCAGAAGAAAAAGGAACCATCAACTATCTTAGCCACATTGAGGAAAGTACTGGTTCTGTGACATTTACAATTAATGTATCTCAAGACCTAGTTGTTTTATTTAGCACCCATTTACCATTGGCTCACAAAGGGCTAGCAGAGGAAGCTCCATCACTTTGTGGCTAAGCTATGTCCCCTCCTCTACTTGTGCACTGGCTTTCTGGACCAAATGGCAGGATTTTACATCCATCATCTTTCTAATGTGACTCATCATGATTGCCTGACAGGATCTTTTTGGGATTTGATACCAACTTAAACATTTTTGCTGCTACTCCAAATTCCAGGTTATTATAAATTTCATAGGCATGGCTTCCATCACTTCATTCAAACCAACAGAAGAAGCCAACTGAGTACCTACTCTTGCTCTATCAAATCCCCACTTCTCCCCTCTGTTCACTCCACTCCCCTAGCCAAAAATGCTAGAGGTTCTTTGTAGGCAAGAGGAAATCATAAAGTAGTCTAAGGTTGTTAAGAGGTTCTTGAGTCCATCAGCTAATCTCAACTTCAACAAAATCCCTGAAATGGTATAAAAATATTATGCACTTAGCGTGTGTATATATGTGCTATAACGTTCTCTAGATTCTAAAGGGCTCTATCTGTATCCTAAAAGATTAATCACTGATAGTGGTTACACATTCAACCAACTTCTGGGCACAATGGCCCATAACTGTTATCTCAGCAACTTGAGGGGCTAAGGTGGGAGGAGTGCTTGAAGCCAAATATTTGAGACCAGCCTGGGCAACATAGCAAGATCCCGCCTCTACAGAAAAATTTAAAAATTAGCCAGGCGTGTTGGTGCATATCTAGCCCTTTAACTACTACTAATAATTTACTAGAACCAGCTGGGTGCAGTAGCTCATGCCTATAATCCTAGCACTTTGGGAGGCCGAGATGGGTGGATCACCTGAGGTCAGAAGTTCGAGACCAGCCTGGCCAACATGGTGAAACCCCATCTCCACCAAAAATAACAAAAAATTAGCCAGGCGTGGTGGTGGGTGCCTGTAATCCCAGCCACTCAGGAGGCTGAGGCAGGAGAATTGCTTGAACCTGAGAGGCGGAGGTTGCAGTGAGCTGAGATCGTGCCACTGCACTCCAGGCTGGGTGACAGAGCAAGACTCCGTCTCAAAAACAAACAAAAATAAATTTAAAAAAATAATTTACTAGAACCAAATAGCTAAGATTCTTCAGAAATTACTTGTTGCAATGTAATGCGTTACAAACACTCATCTTCTATAGTAGCGGCTGTCAAATTCAGGCATGCATTTGCAGCACCTAGAGGGTTTATTAAAATACAGATTGCTGGGCTCTATCCCAGAGTCCCTGATTCAGTAGGTATAGGGTAGAGCCTGAGAACTATTTTTTTTTTTTTTGAGACAGAGTTTCACCCTGTTGCCCAGGCTGGAGTGCAGTGGACGCAATCTCAGCTCACTGCAACCTCTGCCTCCAGGGTTCAAGTGATTCTCTTGCCTCAGCCTCCCAAGTAGCTGGGATTACAGGCAGGCCTGCACCATGACCCGCTAATTTTTGTATTTTTAATAGAGATGGGGTTTCACCATGTTGGTCAGGCTGGTCTTGAACTCCTCACCTCAGGTGATCCACCTGCCTCGGCCTCCCAAAGTGCTGGGATTACAAGCGTGAGCCACCGCGTCCAGCCTGAGCCTCAGAATTTGCATTTCTAACAAGTTCCCAGATGCTGCTGCCACTGCTGGTCCTGGGACACATTTGACAACCATTGCTCCAAAGTTCTGTGGTTGCCATGGTGCGCCACTGCTACCAGCAGGTATGTTAGAGTAGAAAAAGAGGTTGAAAACCAAATTCTAGACTAATTCATAACAATTTAAATAACATGTTGATGTCTTAAAGGTTATAGACTTGGATAAAACAAAAACCGCAAAATAAGATGAAACAAAAAATCACACAACATGTGATTAATGTTATTAAAACTTCTATACAAATAAAATTGCTAACACATTTTATACCTAAACTTGCATTAGTCTTCTAAGACATCCTCTTTGGAGAGGGCAATACAGAAAACATTCATAGATACATGTACATTCTGCATAACAGTTTTAAAAGCCTCTAGGGACTGGTCTAATAACACTATTAACAAGTTGTCTCTTTCCAACTTAAACGTTGCACACTGGTAAAAAGAAAGGAGGCCAGGTGGGGTGGCTCACGCCTGTAATCCCAGCGCTTTGGGAGGGCGAGGCAGGTAGATTGCTCGAGTCCAGGTGTTCAAGACCAGCCTGGGCAACATAGCGAAACCCCGTCTCTACAAAAAATACAAAAAATTAGCTGGGCTTGGTGTCACAGGCCTGCAGTCCCAGTTCTTCAGGAGGATGAGGCAGGAAGATCACTTGAGCCCAGGAGGCAGAGGTTGTAGTGAGCTGAAATCACACCACTGCACTCCAGCCTCGGCAACAGAATGAGACTCTGTCTCAAAATAATAATAAATAATAATAATAATAATAATAATAATAATAAGTAAAATAAAAAATTTAAAAAAAAAGAAGAAAGGAGGCATGGCTTCAAGGTGGGAAACATCACAGGTAAATTTGAGAACAAATAATAGGATACACACTCCACCTTTCAGAAGGGTAGAATCTATTAAAAGAAAATATTCAACTATAACAAAATATGACAAGTTTCTCTTACTATTCTTATCAGGTGTAAACTGCATATCCTACAGAGCACTTAGGAAACTGTCTTGCTGTCAGTAGACACGCACACACTTCTTAAATTTTACACTGGACATGTAATTAGATGCTTAAATTTAGCAGGTGACTATAAATTAGAATAATTTAACAAATAACTTCTAGAACAGGTCTAGAAGCAGTAGATTATATATCTTAAAATTATTTTATCAAATTGGGACATCTTACATATTATCAGTACTTTTTCTAGATGGGGAAATGCTTGTAATTTAGTATTTTAAAAAACCCAGTAGAACACAAAAGTGTAATTACACAGCATGTTCCCAATTTTGTGGGGAAAACTACATACACGTGTGTATTTTTTTTTTAAACGGAACAAATATTCATTGGGTCTTTACTGGGTAGTAGGATTACCAATGACTTTCACCTTTTCAGTCTCTTCTACAACTAAACACTATGAGGAGAGTCATCTGTTCCACGCTGTATCTTGAGCATTTTGTCTAGTCCCTGGTATATAACAGGGGATCTGTACCTATTGATCAATATTTACGTGAATGGTCCCAACCCTCATAGTGAAATTCAACTTCTCCACAACCAAAAAGCTATTATTCCTTCAACTCCTGACCCAAATGCCATCCTTTCAGAAGTTCTTTTCAGGTCAATGTGGCAATTTAATCCTTTTCCTTCTCCTAACATTTTGTACTGTTCTCCTGACTTTCTTCTTACCCTACCCTGCGTTGTACCAGAGGGCTTTGCAGCTGTTAAGTGTTCATATTATTGTTTACCTGATAGAGTTCATGAGACCATTGGAGATATTTTGTTCAGTTTAATTCTTCACTTGTAATTGTCAAATACATTTATTTCACTCCATAATACATTGGTACCCAATCTGGATAATACTGGTGTTTAACAGTGTACCACTCACCAGTGATTTGCTTTGCAGGAAGGACAACACTATGATTTTTAAAACAGCAGATACCATTGTCATATATCACTAATTATGGCCAGGCACTATTCTAAGCAGTTTACATACATCAACTCTTAATCCTCACAACAGCCCTATGAGGTAGGCACTATTAATATCTCCATTTTACAGATGAGGAATCTGAGGTACAGAGAAAGCCAATAACCAGCCCAAGGGCACACAGCTAACAAGTAGCAGAGCTGGGATTAAACTCAGAGTTCAGCTCCAGAGTACACACTACAATGATGGAAGGTGACATGGAGGAAATTTTGAAGGGTGTGTAGTGTACAATGCTATATACTACCTTTCTACTAAATAAAAACCCAATCAATTACGGCTTAAAAAGTATAGGCTTAACCAATGAATCATCTGGCAAAGGTTTTATATATTTTATAGAAAAAGATACCCATAACTTAGGGGAAATAAAGACAAACAGGAATCTTTTTGTTAGCGAACATAAAGATGGTCTGAGGGTTATTAGTGTCATTTTAAATTGCTGCCTAATTACAATTAAATCATTTATCTGTGTATGAATTAGCCCCCTACAGAGCCAAAGTTGCCATCCCTTTCAGTGGTTTGACACACACACCCCTGGGGCTCCACCCCCAGGTCATTTTTCACTTCCAATGAAATGTCACCCAGCAAACTTTTCAAATCCCTCCCAGCACCTACTATGAGTGTGGACAGAGGCAAACAATTCAATTTTATGAACGGCCTGCACATAGAAAGGCAAACAAGAAGGATGGATAAATTATCCATGACAGAGCATCCATCTATAACAGATGAGCTAAAACAGAACTGTCCCAATTTGGGTACTGCTACCATTGAGGTCACTTACATGACAGGGCTGGACGAGTCTGCTAATTTATCAAAATCCTGCTCAACCCAATGATCACAAACACAAACCAAACACAAAAGGCCACTATTGCTACTTATGGCCTGCCCCATCTCCCAATTAATATCTCTATACTGTGTTTAATATTTCCAAAACTAGGATCCAACACCAGGAACTTTAATTCCTCACATGTGATAAAGTGCATAAACCGCTGAAGCATATAGTCTTCCACCCTACAACGTGCCCTTCAAGATTTCCTCCATCTCACCTTCCATCTCAGCTGCCTTCGTTATAATGATTTCCCTATGGAGCCCAAATGAAAAGCCAGGCTCGCAGGGGTCACATCCTTCTGCTGCCAAAGCTCGTGCTATATCGCACAATTACACCATATGCTTTCTCCAGATAAGGACGGGGAAGAACTGAATTTAAGATGCAGAAGTAAGGAGATGCATAAAATGGCCACTTTTCCAGAACCCGAGACAGGCAGGGCATACTTAAACATCAAAAGCAAGGGACTCAAAGAATAATTAATAAAGGCAGATTGATGAAGGAGATAAAACAATAAATAGATTATAAAGTTTTCCAGAGTGAGATACTATCAAGAATAATTAAACCTGACTCAAAGAATCCTCAGTTTCAACGTTAAAAAACAAAATCTCAGCAAAGCCAAAGTATTATGTTTGGTATTACATTATTCAGCGAAAACAGCAGTCTTTGTTTCATCTGCAGTCTGCATCTACCCCGCCTGCTTTCCCCTACCCCACCCCAGCCCACCCCACCCCCTTCCATCCACCGCAGTGATCTTGAAGGGAGCTGCAGAGGCCCTAAAGAAACAGAGATAACGGCTGTAGGCAGAGGCCACGTTATCCAAACCTCACCAGCCCGGTCTGACCCGCCGAGTCGCCAACCTCCTTCCTAAGGCCCTAGTTCCAAACAGGCCTGGCTGGGGGCCTCCCGCTTCCCAGGGCCGCATCCGCCCACCACAGGCCCACAAAGCCCCCACAAATGCCAGGACTCCGCGGCTTCAACTTCCCTCCGAACCAATTCCAGTCCGATTTTATGGGATCAGGGTGTGACCCCCAACTGCAGAAGGCAATGAAGAGACTGCGGCGAGCCATTCCCAGCTCGCTTACACAATAAAGGGATCCCGAGGCGAGTGCTGACCCTCCCCCCGGCCGTCCTGCTGCAGCGCGCCCCGCCACATTTCCCGCCTCGCCCCCTCAAACCGCCTGGGCCTCGCAGGGCGTCCACCCCCGGCCTAGGCGCTCCACGGAGGGCGCGGCAGGACGCCCTCCTCCCGCGCTCCTTCCCCGGCGCCGGCGGAGTCCGACCCTCCCCACGCCCGCGGCCGGCTCCGGAGCCCCTCACCCGCCGCGCGCTTCCCCGGCCGCGCAGAGCCAATGCCCTCCTGTCCCTCCACCCACGGGTCGGGCGCGCGCCGCCCGCCTTCCAAGCCCATGGTGAACCCCTCTGGTGCTGCGGGGGACCGGTCGCGCCAGGCCTAACCCACCCAGCAACCCACGCAGGGGCCCTTCCTGCCCAGCGCCCCCCCACCCTACCGCCGGGACTGCGCTTTCCAGCCCCGCTTAGAATCCCCTCTCTTCCTGGGAGGCAGACACTGGCTCGCGGGGCACGCCGAGACCTCCGCCGGGACACTAGCCCCTCGACCTCGCGCCCCCAGGGATCCCACCCACCGAGAACCTGGTCCTCACGTCCCCACCCCCAGATCTCCATCCCCCAGCCCCCCAGGGGTCGCCCTCCTGCACACCCAGGCCCTGACCCCCGCGGGTTTCACAAGGACTTCATTCCCCGCTCCTCCGGGAGTCTCTCCATCTCCACCCACTGAGGTCCCAGTGCCCCCAGCCCAGGACCCTGCTCAAACTAACCTAAGGTCCCCGCAGCACAAACCCTACAGCTCAGAAGCCCCTCTGTCTTCCCCAGCTCCCGCTTCGGTCCCCCGTTCCTGTCCTCCAGAGCCGCCCGGGACCCCTCAGCCCAGGAGCCATTCCTCCCTCCACAAACTGTCCCCCAGCCCTGGGCCGTGCACTCGGACCCGGGTAGCCGCACCTCTCACCTTCAGCCGAAGATGGTGGCGCGGGCGCACGTCCCCAGCCGCGACCACAGATCCAGCGCCTCAGTCCCAAACCCACCGCTGCCTCCGCCGGGCTCCTTTAGCACTGCTGCTCGGGGCTGCCCCACCCACCCCTACCCTCATTGGGCCAGCTCCACGCCCATCACCGCCGCCCCCAGACCCACTGGTTGGTTTGCGCGCCCATCTCCAAGGGAAGACGTTAGCAACCCGAACGAAGCTACCTTCCCGAGTCCGGCTCCCTCCACCCACCTGGAATGACGCTCATTGGCTCCCGCTCCCAGCCCAGGCCACAGAGGCCCCAATCTCATGGGCTGGCTCTTACGCCCGTCATAGGCTCCGGGAGGTGCGGCCGGGGCAGTGGCGCGGGATTGGCTGGCTCGTGCGTAGATGGACAGCTGAGGCTGGCTGAACGCCCGGCGATCCCGCGAGGCTGCGGGTGCGGGCCCCGCGGCGGCCGGCGCGCTGCGCTGACATTGGCTGTGCGGGCCGCGGGGCAGGTGGGCCGCGGCAGGAGGCTGGCGCTCTGACTGCAGACTCCTCGTCCTAGCGTCAGGCAGCCGCCGCAGCCGCAGCACATTCGAGCGCCCGGTCGCCCCCTGTGCTTGCGGCAGCCGGCATGTACCGCAGCGGGACGGGGTTCCACCGCGGAGTCGCGGGCCCTCAGCGTTGCCTGCAGGGGCGGGGCGGAGCGCGGTCCAGAGTCCTGACGTCACCCCCGGGGCTGCGCGGGGTTGGGGCCGCGGCGCTGCGACTCACCTGCAGTGGGGGAAGGAACGCGGGGGAGGGCGCTGCTCCGCCCATGCGCACAGGGTTTGGCCCGGGACCCGGCTGCGCTCCACGCTGCGGCCACTGTCCCGACCCCGGCCCCAGGCGGACTCTGCCGGGATCGGCCGAGCGCCAGGCGCAGGACACGGTCCTCCAAGGTCGCAGTTTTGGTGTTAGCGGGGTGAGAGGCTCTCCTGCCCAGCCTCCAGGCAAGGCTGAGATTCCAGAAGAATGAGAAGAGAACCGACCTTGGAGAGAAAACTTGGAAGAAACTTTATTCACCTCATTCATTCACTCGTTCAGTCGCTCCTTCATTCATTCATCAGAGCTCCCTACGTGAAGGGCTATGAGAGGTTCTTAAGAATATAAGGCTGGATTCCTGTAGCGCTGTCATATCCCCTAGGGCTTATGAAAACGTTGGAGACTGAAAAACAGTGGCCCCAAAATAACGAAAGGAAACTGGAAAAATCAAAGTAAATAAAATTTAATGAAATGTCTGCAGAATCTAGGCAACTGCAACAAAACTCTTGCATAATTATATATAAATATAATAAAGTCTAAATCACATGAACAAAATGAATTATTCATACAAAACCTGAAAGTCAAGATCATAAAAATTCACAGCAAGATGCAGTTATTAATCAGTTATTAATGTAGGCTATGGGAGCATTTTAATACATGTGATAATGATGTGTTTGCCTAAGCCTAGGAAACGTCTAGTCTGGCAAAAAGTGAATTAAGCAAAAAACAAGGCAGGAAGTCCTAAGGAAGGGTTGGTGGAATTCAGAAGAGGCTGGAAGGCAGCTGAGTGCAGAGTCCTTCCTGGGGAAGTCCGAACCAGGCTCTGTTTTGTCCTTTGTCCTGCTGCATCTGGTCCCCCACCCCCACCTGCCTGCTGGGGTACTACCCCGTGTCCAGGTGTCTTGTGACTTGGCTCTGTGAAGAGGTCTGTCCTTCTAATGCAGTCTGCACATGGAGTACAAATTAACTTTCCAAAATATATGAATGATATTCCTCTAATGAATTTTAAAATGTGTTTAGAGAAGACCAAAGACTCCCTCTCTGAGGCCTGAGTCTCCACTTTGTCAGCCACCGAAGTCATTTCTCAGTGCAATGTTCTATGCTTAGTGCATCCACTCGCGAATAACACTGTAAGCCACAGAGTCAGTAGTTTCTCATAATTCAAAAACTTTTGCATATATATGTGTATATATATGTATATATGTATATATATGTGTGTGTATATATATTTTTTTGTTTTGTTTTGTTTGTTTCTTTGAGATGGAGTCTCGCTCTGTTACCAGGCTGGAGTGAACTGGCATGTTCTCAGCTCACTGCAATCTTCGCCTCCCGGGTTCAAGTGATTCTCCTGCCTCAGCCTCCCTAGTAACTGGGACTACAGGCGCGCGCCACCACGGCCAGCTAATTTTTGTATTTTTAGTAGAGAGAGGGTTTCACCATGTTGGCCAGGATGTTGGCCTCGATCTCTTGACCTCGTGATCCGCCCGACCCGGCCCCTGAAAATGCTGGGATTACAGGCATGAGCCACCGTGCCCGGCCAACTTTCACATAATTTTAACACAAACTCAATGGACCATCAGAAGAGGAGGGCAGGAAGTTCACCAGAAGGAAATACCATAAAGACATTAGTCTTGATGAGAAATTAATAATAAAGAGAATATCCCCAAATGTATCTTTCCCCCTGGTGGCTCTTTGGCACTTGGGCCCTACATGTCCAACTGCCTGGATGAGAGGGGGACTGCAAAAGCAGAAGGTACCAAACCTATTTTCTTCTATCACCCTTTCCCACTACTCAAACTCTCTCTTCCCAACTTCTTTGTGAATGGAACCACTCTTGCAATCTCTTTCTTTCCTTTCTTTTTCTCCCAACACCTAGCCCCACTATATATCTATCATCCATCCCAGGCAGCCTCCTCTGACTCCAGTTCCAACCATGTAGCTTCATCCCAGAATTTGCTGCCATCTTGATGAAGAAAGCACAGGATTTAGAAGCAGATAGACCTGGCTTTGAATCCAACTTTGCCTTTCACAAATTACTTAACCTCATCTCTCAAAAGGGGATACAAATGTATACCTAAAAGACTCGTTCATGAAGATGGAGCATAATGATTTCCTGTAAACAAAATGTGGCATTATAAATAGATTGAAAATTGTCCCTTTTTCTAGTGTACATGTTTATTACAGAAGACTGAGGAATCTTTCTCCTCTCTCTCTCTCTAGTAATTTTTGCTGTCGGTCTAGGCTGCTTTTATCTCCAAAAGAAAAAGTTCACAGACTATTGTTTTGCAGGGTCTAGGTCAGAAGTCCATATTTGTTCCCTCAGGGCAGTTCCAGCCCCTGAACTTGTTTTGTTCCATCTGTACAGGATATACAGCATTTTTTAAAAAAAATTGAATGAATTCCAACATTTAAAAACCAAGCACTATCCCATATCATTAGCCATTAGGGAAATGCAAATCAAAACTACAATGAAGGCCCAGGCGCGGTGGCTCACGCCTGTAATCCCAGCACTTTGGGAGGGTGAGGTGGGTGGATCACTTGAGGTCAGGAGTTTGAGACCAGCCTGACCAACATGGTGAAACCCCATCTCTACTGAAAATACAAAAAATAGCCGGGTGTCGTGGTGGGCACCTGCAAGTCCAGCTACTCAGGAGGCTGCAGCAGGAGAATCATTTGAACCCAGGAGATGGAGGTTGCAGTGAGCCAAGATTGTGCCACTGCACTCCAGCCTGGGCGACAGAGCGAGACTCCGTCTCAAAAAGAAAAAAAAAATTTTTTTATTTTCTTTCTCAAAAACAAACAAACAACAACAAAACAACAACAACAAAACACTATGAGATCCCACTTCACATATACTGGAATAACTATAATAAAAAAGATGGACAATAATAAATGTTGGTGAGGATGTAGAGAAACAGCAACCTTAGGCCACTGCTGGCAGGAACGGAAAATGGTTCAGCCACTTTGTAAAATAGTTTGGTGGTTTCTTAAAAAGTTAAATGTATTCTGTGTTTTTGACCACAGTTTTTTTAAAAAGTTAAACATAAGACCGGTGGCAGTGGATTACGCCTGTAATCCAAGCACTTTGGGAGGTCGAGGCGGGTAGATCACCTGAGGTCAGGAGTTTGAGACCAGCCTAGACAACATGGTGAAACCCCGTCTCAAAAAAAAAAAAAAACAAAAAAACAGAAAAACAAAAAAAAAAACTGTAGAGACAGAAAATAGAATATTTGCCTGTGGTGAGGACTGGGGCTGGGGAGGAGAGTCAGCACGGTGAATGTAAATGAGAGATCTGATTGAGTTGATGAACTGATTTATGGTGATGGTTGCAGAACTTGGTAAATTTATTTAAAAAATTATTATACACTGCGAATTATATGAATATGCAAAATGTACCTTAATAAGGTAATATTTGAAACATAAAGAAACAAAGAGCTATCAAGGCGAGTGGATCACCTGAAGTCAGGAGTTTGAGACCAGCCTGGACAACATGGTGAAACCCCGTCTCTACTAAAAATACAAAAATTAGCTGGGCGTGGTGGTGGGCGCCTGTAATTCCAGCTACTCGGGAGGCTGAGGCAGGAGAATTGCTTGAACCTGGGAGGCGGAGGTTGCAGTGGGCCAAGCTTGTGCCACCGCACTCCAGCCTGGGTAACAGCAAGATTCTGGCTCAAAAAAAAAAAAAAATTTAAACATAAATTCACCATATAATCCCACATTTCTACCCTTAGGTGTCTACCAAAAAAGAAGGAAGACCTGTGTGGACACAAAGACTTGCACACAAATGTTTATAGCAGCATTATTCATAATAACCAAAAGATGAAAACAACCGAATGGTCCATTAGCATGGTGAATAGTCAAAAGTGGTCTATCCATACAACGGAATATCATTCAACAATAAAAAGGAAGAAACTATGAGTACATGCAACAACATAGGTAAACCTTGAAAATATCATGCGCAGTGAAGGAAGCCAGACACAAGAGACCACATATTGTATCATCCAATTTATATGAAATGCCCATAAAAAGCAAAGCTGTAGACCAGGCGTGGTGGCTCATGCCTGTAATCCCAAGACTTTGGGAGGCTGAGGCGGGTGGATCATGAGGTCAGGAGTTCGAGACCAGCCTGGACAACATGGTGAAACCCCGTCTCTACTAAAAATACAAAAATTAGCCAGGCGTGCTGGGGCATGCCTGTAATCCCAGCTACTCAGGAGGCTGAGACAGGAGAATCGCTTGAACCTGGGAGGTGAAGGTTGCAGTGAGCTGAGATCGTGCCATTGCACTCCAGCCTGGGTGACAGAGCAAACCTCCGTCTCAAAAAAAACGAAGAAGAAGAAGAAAAAAAAAAAGCTGTAGAGAAAATAGAATATTTGCCTGTGGTGAGGACTGGGGCTGGGGAGGAGGGTCAGCACAGTGAATGTACATGAGAGATCTGATTGAGTTGATGAACCGATTTATGGTGATGGTTGCAGAACTTGGTAAATTTATTTAAAAAATTATTATACACTGCAAATTATATGAATATGCAAAATATACCTTAATAAGGTAATATTTGAAAAATAAAGAAGAAAAGAGCTGTCACATGAACATCGAGATTTCTAGCTTCCCTTGAAAAATTGGAAGGTATGGAAATTCAAGCAACAATTTGTCGATGCCTTGGCTGCTGCTCATTTTTAGACAAAGTGTGTGCTTCCCAGGGTGCCTTGGTCACTGCCGCTCCTTGCTGTCTGTTTTTTTGTTGTTGTTGCTTGTTTGTTTGTTTTTGAGATGGAGTCTCGCTCTGTTGCCTAGGCTGGAGTGCAGTGACGCTATCTTGGTTCACTGCAACCTCCACCTCCCGGGTTCAAGCGATTCTCATGCCTCAGCCTCCCAAGTAGCTGGGATTACAGGCGTGTGCCACCACACCTGGCTAAGTTTTATATTTTTAGTGGAGACAGGGTTTCACCATGTTGGCCAGGCTGGTCTTGAAATGCTGACCTCAGATGATCCACCTGCCTCAGCCTCCCAAAGTTCTAGGATTATAGGCGCGAGCCACGGTGTCCAGCCCCTGTTATCTCTTAAAGCTGACCCACTATGCTCATTAACATTATTTGCCCCATCTTTTTAGGTATTTATTTGAGTTTTCAGTCTCTGCCATACGTGTTGGGGGGCTTCATGTGAGATCATCCCAGAGAGATAAAAAGGGTAGTGTTTTTGAGTTGAAGAATTGTTCCTTTGACGGTGGTAAGGCCGTGGGAGGTTTGGGATGTCTAGAAGTGTAGACAGGGGTACCCTTTGAACATGATTCCTGGAAGCAGTAGAACCTCAGGGCGTGGACTACCGTGATGGTCATCTCACAGCCCACTCAGGGCAGTAACACCAGACCAGTGAGAAAGATCAGTGCTCAACTGTGATATCTTGAGCAGAAGGAGTGATGGTAAAAACAGAGGCTTCAATGAGTTGAGAAAAAAAAGAAACTTCCAGAATTTTCTTGAGGCACTTAAGCTCTGGAGATCTGAAAAAACCCAGGAGAAGAGGTTCCTGAAAATTGCTAATTTAACATTTCTCATCAACCATGTAGGATTTGGCTAAGTCAGATTTAATTTGGTTTAGAAAAATGAAGGCATGCATTATGCTAAATGAGGTAACTCAGGAATGGAAAACCAAATACTGCATGTTCTCACTTATAAGTGGGAGCTAAGCTATGAGGATGCATAGACATATAGAGTGATATAGTGGACTTCCGGGATGGTGGGAGCAGGGTGGGAGGAGGGTGACGGAGAAAAGACTACATATTGAGTATAGTGTACACTGCTCAGGTGACGAGTGACTAAAATCTCAGAATTTACCACTAAAGAACTCGTTATGTAAACAAAAACCACCTGTACCTCAAAACCCACTGAAAAAAAAAATAAGCCAGGCGCAGTGGGTCACACCTGTAATCCCAGCACTTTAGGAGGCCGAGGCAGGTGGCTCACCTGAGGTCAGGAGTTCTAGACCAGCCTGGCCAACATGGCGAAAGCCTATCTCTACTAAAAATACAAAAAAATTAGCCGAGTGTGGTGGCGCGTGCCTGTAATCCCAGATACTCGCGGGGCTGAGACAGAAGAATCGCTTGAACCCAGACAGGGAGGTTGCAGTGAGCCACGATCATGCCACTGCACTCCAGCCTGGGCGACAGAGCGAGACTCCATCTCAAAAATAAATAATTAATAATAATAATAATAAGGAAAAGGAAAATGAAGGCATGATAATCCTATCCCCCTAGCATCTTAGTCAAGCCATACCTGTGACAAATAGTTATTGAGTATCTTTTGTGTCTATGGGCTGGGCCAGGGTACTGAGGAAATACCTGTAATAACGTAGACATGGTCCTTCCCTCGAAGAGCATAAAGTCTAGCAGGAAAAGTAAACAGATAGGCAGATAGTTGCAATTGAGCAAAAGTTCTAAATCCAGAGTGCCCAGAAACCCAGAGGGTTTTCGGAGTTCTATAAAACCTCTGAAATTGTGTGCAAAATTTATCATGTTCTCTTTTTTCTGGAGAGAAGATTTAGCTTTTAGCAGGTTCTCATAGATGCCTCTCATCCAAAAAGGTTGGGAGAATACAATATAGTATCGCCAGTGCTACATTATGGAAAACACTGCAAGATCCAAGGCCGAGTTAAGAGGGCCACTTAACTCAGAATGGTGGGGGTTCCAGAAATTCTTCTTAGAGAAAGTAATATTAAAAATATTATCTGGGCTGGACGCAGTGGCTCATGCCTGTAACCCCGGCACTTTGGGAGGCTGAGGTGGGCAGATCACGAGGTCAAGAGATCGAGACCATCCTGGCCAACATGGTGAAACCCATCTCTACTAAAAATACAAAAATTAGCTGGGAGTGGTGGCGTGTGCCTGTAGTCCCAGCTACTCGGGAGGCTGAGGCAGGAGAATCGCTTGAACCTGGGAGGTGGAGTTTGCAGTGAGCCGAGATCACGCCACTACACTCCAGCCTGGCGACAAAGCAAGACTCTGTCTCAAAAATAAAATATATATATATATATATATATATATATATATATATATATATATATATAAAATCTGAAGAATAAAATGTTAACCAGACAAAGAGAAGAGGAAAATTCTGTCAGAGAGACCAACACAGAGAGAAAAGAATGCAGGGCTTTCCAAGCCCAGGAAGAAGTTGAGAGTAGCTAGAACAAAGAGAAGAAGCACGGAGGTAGAGGGAGATATGGAACAGAGAGGGTAGGCGGGCCGGCTGTATATGTAAACCATGATGTGGAACTTAGATTTTATCCAGAGCTCAGTGGGAGATTTTATCCAGAGCTCAATGGGGGATCTGTGGGAGAGTTTCAACTGGGGGAGTAACATGACCAGGTTTGTGTTTTAGAAGGCTCATTCTGGCCCTAAGGTGGATGAATGGATTAAAGTGAGTCGGAGGAGGCCAGTTAACAGGTTGCAGCAGCAGATAGCCCAGCTCAGAGTGGATGGTGACTTGGACTAAGGAGGGGCCAACGGGTGGAAAGATATGGTCAGATTGCGGTGATTGCCACTGTCAGGATTAAGTGAGATATTTAAAGTGCCAAGCCAATGTGTGAAGATATTGAAGTGCCTACCATAGTGCATAAGGATATTTATAGTGCCTGGCACAATGCTTGACACATCGTAAGTTGATTCCCTTCCTCTTTCTTCTCATGGCCTCCCGGACTAAAAACAGTCCCTCCCCATATCCTGTACACACTTTCATTAAAACAGCTATTAAAAATCCTTACACTTTTTACCCTCTATCCCTGTATCCTCATTAAAAACCAGCACTGTCCAATAGAGATAGAATGTGAGCCACCAATCACGCTACATATATAATTTAAAATTTTCCAGTAGAGACATTTAAAAAGTAAAAAGACACCATTCACATTAATTTTAATCATATATAAGCAAATACATATAGAATGTTACATTTCAACATGTAATCAATGAAAACAATGATTATTAGGATAGTTCACTTTCTTTTTTTCATGCTAAGTATTCAAAATCTGATGTGTGTTTTAGGTTTACAGCACATGTCAATTCATACTAACCACATTGTAAGTGCTCAACAGCTACATGTGGCTGGTGGCTACCATATAGGACAACACAGTGCTAGACTGTAAACTCCTGGCAGGAAGGGCCAGCTTGTATCCCCAGGAACAACTTAGTGCTCGACACATAGTAGATGCTCAATAAATGTTTATTGGATAAAAAGATGACAGGATGGATGGATTAATGTATGGATAGGTGGATGGGAGAAAGGATGGATGGATGGATGGATGGATGGAAGGAAGGATGGATGAATGGATGGATGGCAGGATGAATGGCAGGATGAATGGATGAAGGAAAGAAGAATAAATGGATGGATGGATGGATGGATAGAAAGAAGGATGGATGGACAGCAGGATTGATGGCAGTATGGATGGATGAAGGAAAGAAGAATGAATGGATGGATGGACAGATGGATAGAAAGAAGGATGGATGGACAGCACGATTGATGGCAGTATGAATGGATAAAAGGAAAGAAGAATGGATGGATGATGGATGGATGGATGGAAAGAAGAAGAGCTGGATGGTAGGTTGACAGGATGGGTGGATGGGTGGATGGATGGATGAGGAGATCCCTTTCAGCTTTGGGGAAGAGATAGTGTTGTAGCTGAGTCTGAAAGATGAGCAGGATGACAACAGTTAAGGATGATGGGCTGCAAAAGGCAAGCATGGAAGGAACCAAAGCATGGCAAAGGCAAGGAAAAGTGATATCAGGAAATGGTGGGAAGTAATAGAGTTTGGTTAAAGTATGTAATGCCTGCTGCACAAAAGAAAGTGGGAAGTGATCCTGGAGATTCCTAAATCTGACACCAAACCCTATGTACAACAGGGAACTCCCAAGCTTCTAGCATTGTTTGCTTCAGTCAATATTTGAGGGACAGATGAAAAGAGAAATGAGAGGAAGAAGTAACGTAAAGGAGGAAATACTAACAAAAAGAAAGAAAAATGTTGACAAAGTGGTAAGAATTACTGGTTTTAGTGTTAGCAAATAACAAGTAATAGGAAAGCTTACCAGAGGACCCTTGCCATTATCCTTTCCATCCTGATGGAAAGAGGAACAGGTCACAGGAGGCGAATAGCTTGAGAAGCCTGAAGTCTGGTCAGTAGATCAGTGGTTAGAAAATAATATAGTGTTGTTGGTCTCAGAGTTTCTGCTGTTCCCTGATGGATCAGACCTGTAGGGAATGTGGTGCATTTGCTGGTACAGAGGGCCCAAGCTTGACATCAAGCCTGATTGTTGTCACATGACACAACATTGCTGCCACCTCCTTTTTAAGGAGCCAGGGCTGGTTTGCTTCCTTTCTGGTCAGTCCTACACATCGAGCATTAGAGGAAATCAAGATATTGCCCTGGGTTTGTTGAAAATAGATATTATTCTTCAGGCAAAAAAGTATGTGGGCATCTCATTGGAAGTTGTTTGCAAAATCCAAATCAGTTGTTTTCTTGAAAGATATTTTTATCAAAAGCTTTAAAACATCCTTTGTGATACTGGGAAAGTTCCTTAACCTCTCTGAGCTTCCATTTACTTGTCTGAAAAACAGGGATAACAATACTTACTTCAGGCTGGGCACGGTGTCTCACACCTGTTATCCCAGGACTTTGGGAGGCCAAAGTGGGAGGATCACTTGAGCCCAGAAGCCAAAGTGGGAGGATCACTTGAGCCCAGCCTGAGCAAAATAGGGACACCCTATCTCTACAAAAAATTTAAAAATTAGCCAGGTTTGGTGTTGGGTGCCTATAGCCCCAGCTATCTGGGGGGCTGAGGTGGGAGGATCGCTGGAGCCCAGGAGGTTGAGGCTGCAGTGAGCTATGATGCAGCCACTGTGCTCTAACCTGGGCAACAAAGCAAAACACTGTGTCAAAAGAAAGAAAGAAGAAAGAAAGTAAGAAAGAAAGAAAGAAAGAAAGAAAGAAAGAAAGAAAGAAAGAAAAGAAAGAGAGAAAGACCTACTTTATAAGGTTGCTGTAAGGTTAAATACAATAAACTAACACTTGTAAAGGTTTTAGCACAGTGGCATTTGTAAATATCTTATCACAAACTAGCAGTCAATAGTGTCACTCTTTATTATTGCTATTATATTTATCATCGTTATCATTACCATTTGGAAAGGACTTGTACATAGCCTTTGCCTTTCAAAGGAAGTGTGTAGTGCTCTTTTGTTATTTTCTATAGATGTATATTAATGAGTGTTGTTCCTTGCTTGGAGTTTTAAATGATACAGAAACAATACATAACTGCAGAGGAAATAATCTAAGCCTATCAAAGTTCTTATAAAAAGTAAAGAAAGAATGTAATATAGAAAGACTGCTAATTAGAAGTTGTACACCCAAATAGACCATACCAACAGCCCTTACACAGAAAGATCCACTCTGATAGACATGCAGATACCTGTACACGCTTAGCAGCATTTACTCTGCATATCTAAGCAAGATAAATTGGAAGGGATAAGGGATAATCATGATATTCATGATGTGCCTTGACTGCAGGCAGGTGGTAATCTGCTGCTGCAGGTAGGATGGATGGCATGGGGGGGTGATATGATCTGGCTGTGTCCCCACTAAAATCTCACCCTGAATTGTAGTAATCCCCATGCAAAAAGGGCGGGGCCAGGTGGAGATAATTGAATCATGGGGTTGGTTTCCCCCATACTGTTCTTGTGGTAGTGAATAAGTCTCACGAGATCTGATGGTTTTATAAATGGGAGTTTCCCTGCATAACCTCTCTTGCCTGCTACCATATAAGACGTGCCTTTGCTCCTCCTTTGCCTTCTGCCATGATTGTGAGGCCTCCCCAGCCATGTGGAACTGAGTCCATTAAACCTCTTTCCTTTATAAAGTACCCAGTCTTGGGTATGTCTTTATTAGCACATGAGAACAGACTAATACAGGGGGTAAACATCTGGACTCAGCAATCAATTAAATTGGCTCCACCACTTACAACTGTGTCCTTAGACAAGCCACATGACATCTCAAGACCTTAGTTTCCTCATCTGTTAAATGGCAATGATGATAGCACAGACTGAATGAGATTGTTTTAAGGATTAAATAAGACAATGCATGCAAAGACTTGGCCTACCATTGGGCTCTTAGGAGGCTATTCTTTTCTTTTCTTTCTTTCTTTTTTTTTTTTTTTTTAAAAACAGTCTCACTCTGTCACCCAGGCTGGAGTACAATGATGCAATCTCAGCTCACTGCAGCCTCGATCTCCTGGGCTCAGGTGATCTTCCCACCTCAGCCTCTTGGGTAGCTGGGACTAAAGGCATGCACCACCACACCTGGCTAATTTTTTGTATTTTTTTTTGTAGAAATGAGGTTGTGTCATGTTGCCCAGGCTGGTCTCGAGTTCCTGGGCTCAAACCATCCACTCACCTCACCCTCCCAAAGTGCTGGGATTACAGACATGAGCTATCACACCTGGCCATATCTAGCTATTCTTAAGTGCTCAAACTTGAATCTTATTAAGCGTCTGAATCTACTAATTTACAGAAAATACAGAGGACAGAAGACCATGTTAAACCATACCAGAGTAATGCAATCGACGAAATCCAGGATGTAGAAAGCGTCACAGAACAAACAGCCTGGCTTCTTCAACCAATAAATTGCAAGTAAAGGAAACAACAAAGAGATGGGCCAATGCTATAGATTAAAAGATACTTAAAAGATACATCAACCAATTGCAACGTGTGAAGCTTTTTTGGGAGCCTGATTCAAATAAACAAACAGTTTATGAAACAATGGAAAACAAGTAATTTATGAAACAATCGGAAATTTGAATGCAGACTGGATATTAGATGATATTAATAAAGTACTGTTAATTTTTAAATGTATGGTAATGCTATCGTCGTTATGTAAAAATAAAGAATCCTTTTCTTTTAGAGATGGGCACTATAAAATTACAGATGAAATAATATGGTGTCTGGGATTTGCTGTGAAATAGTATGGGAGAGAGTATAGAAAGAAGTTTGTTCATGAATTGTTGAAGTTGACTAATGAGTATACCGCTCTCTCTTTATTTTTGGATATATTGGAAATTCTCTATGAAAGAAACCTTAAAAATTACTTTGGTTGATATGATTTTTATTGGGAGTGCCAAATCCTAGTGGGGAAAAATGAGATCCTGGAGAAAATAAGAAATTGTTCAGCTTGAATGTTACAATCCTCATAATCTAGTGTCAACCCACCTTCTCAATTCACGCCTCGTCCTTCAACACAGATGTTTCTCCCAGTTATCACCTCCAGTTGGTCTTGTCATCTTCTTTGCTTCTTTCTGGCCATCTTCCCCGCTTTGTTTGTACTATTTCCTCCTGGAAGGCCCTTTCTCCGCAAATTCACCAGGCCTGGTCCTCCCCACCCATCAAGACTGAACCCCAGCTGGGCATGGTGACTCACGTCTGTAATCCCAGCACTTGAGCCCAGGGGTTCTGGACCAGCCTGGGCAACATGGCGAAACCCTGTCTCTACAGAAAAACAAAAAGCAAAAATTGATTGCACGTGGTGGCAGGTGCCTGCAGTCTCAGCTACTCAGGAGGCTGAGGTGGGAGGATCATTTGAACCCAGGAGGCAGAGGATGCAGTGAGCCAAGATCACGCTGCTGCATTCCAGCCTGGGTGACAGGGGGAGATTCATCACCATAACAACAACGGCAACAACAAAACTGAGCTCAAAGTTCACCTTCGCCCTGAAGCTTCTCTGAATACTTTAGCCAAAATTTTTTTGAATTCAATAGTAAATGTCGGCTCAATTCGTGATCCCGAATCTGCCTCAAGTACATGTGCAGTCTCATCTCTCCCCTCTCATAGATAATCCTGAAAACTGGATTAAACCCAGTTCCCTGAACATAACCCACGCTTTCTCGTTACTTAGATTTTGATCACAATACCTTCTCTGCCAGGGCCTCTCTGATGTCTCCATCTATTGAAATTCTATCCATTCTTGGAGGCTTATCTACCAAAAAGTCCTCCTCCACCAGGAAGTCTTTCTCTACCTCTACTCCCAACACACCTGCAGCCCAACTAAATGTGATCCTGTTCTTTTAATTTCTAAAATGGTATTAAAGTGTTGGTGGAAAACAGTCACTGAGCCCTTTTGTTTTGAATTGACCCATAATAATTGTATATATTTATGGGATACAGTGTGATGATTCCATGCATGTATACATTGCGTAATGATCAAATCATGGTATTTAACATATTCATCATCCCAAACATGTATCATTTCTCTGTGATGAGAACATTCAGAATCCTCTCTACTTATTTTGAAATATATACTATTTAATATGATATCATTTACCGTAGTCATCCTGCTGTGCTACAGAACTTATTCCTCCTATCTAACTGCAATTTTGTACTTGTTGACCAATCTTTCTCCATCATCCCGTCTCCGCTAACTTCCCTAGCCTCTGGTAACCACTATTCCACTCTGTACTTCTATAAGATCAGCTTTTTTCAGATTCCACAAATAAATGAGATTTACAGTATTGTCTTACTGTGCTTGCCTTATTTCATTTAATACCCAGTGACCACTTTGAGAATCTCATGGGAACTATGGACCTTCACTCTCCTTTCCATTTGCACATGTGTTTGCATGTGCAATGTTATAGTTGATTTTGGGGGGAAGGCTCATGAACCCAGGTTAAATTCCTGTCTTGTTCCCTTTCATATAACACTTACAATCTTTCTGGTGTTCACATTATTTGTAAATAAGATGTTTTCTTCTAGATGATGATGATGATGATTATTATTTTTTGAGACAGAGTCCTACTCTGTCGCCCAGGCTGGAGTGCAGTGGTGCGATCTCGGCTCACTGTAACCCCTACCTCCCAGGTTCAAGCGATTCTCCTGCCTCAGCCTCCCGAGTAGCTGGGATTACAGGCATGCACCACCATGCCCAGCTAATTTTTGCATTTTCAGTAGAGACGGGGTTTCACCATGTTGGTCAGGCTGATCTCGAACTCCTGACCTCAGGTGATCCGCCCACCTCGGCCTCCCAAAGTGCTGGGATTACAGGTGGGAGCCACCGCACCCATCCTTCTTCTGGATTATCTTAAAGTGAAAAGCATACTTTCCTAACGTTTGCATCCCCCATAGCACCTCACATAATGTTGCATGCATTTGAAGTTCTCAAAAAATGTTTGTTGCACAGTCAAATTCGACTCATTGGGTGATTGATTCATGTTAATAATTGTGTAATCAACCACTTGCTTTTTAAAACCTGCTCCTGGCTCATATTAGCTTTTCCAGTTTGTTTCTTTATATCTTTTCTTTTCTTTTTTTTTTGAGACGGAGTCTCAATTAATAACAAAACAAAAGTGCTCGGTGATTTTTTTCCACCAACACTAAAACATACTGTTTTCTAGATTAAAAGAACAGGATCACATTTGGATGGGCGGCAGGTGCGATGGGAGTCGAGGTAAAGAAAGACTTCCTGGTGGAGGAGGACTTTTTGGTGGATAAACATCCAAGAATGGACAGAATTTCCATAGGTGGAGGCATCAGAGAGGCCCTGGCAGAGAAAGTATTGTGATCAAAATCTAAGTAATGGGTAAGCATGGGGTATGTTCAAGGAATTGGGCTTGATCCAGTTTTCAGGATTATCCATGAGACGGACGAGATAAGGCTGCAAATGTACTAGAGGCAGATTTGGGATCACAAATTGAGCCGATATTTACTATTGAATTCAAAAAGATTTTGGCTAATGTGTTCGGAGAAGCTTCAGGGAGGAGGTGAACTTTGAGCTCAGTTTTGTTGTTGTTGTTGTTTTGGTGATGGGTCTCTGTCACCCAGGCTGCAGTGCAGTGGCACGTTCTCAGCTCACTGCAACCTCCACCTCCTGGGTTCAAGCGATTCTCCTGCCTCAGGCTCCTAGGTAGCTGAGACTACAGGAGTGCGCCATGGCACCTGGCTAATTTTTTGGTATTTTTAGTGGAGATGGGGTTTCACCATGTTGGCCAGACTGGTCTCAAACTCCTGACCTCAGGTGACCCACTCGCCTCTGCCCCCGAAGTGCTGGGATTACAGATGTCATCCACTGTGCCCAGCCATACATCTTTTCTACTAGGGAACAGAATCAAGGGGCCGTTTTCAGATTTGTGCAGCTGCTGAAAATCTTAGGGTAATTGTGAGGCATCGGTGGCAGAGGCTGGAACGCCACACTGGACTTTGCATTAGGCTCATCTAAGTCCTTGATATCCTCAGCACCCCAAGTTTCTTGACCCAATCGTGCAGCAAACATTAGACCTGCCAGGGCAAATGGCATCTTATAGGCACCTTGGGATAATTGCGGGCTCTCTCGACAATTTTCTACATGAGGGCAGATCTGGTGTCTTGGCAGAGCGTGTGGCCGCTTCCATCACTGGTCTCGGGGGTGTTACAAGGCCCCATCAGCCCAGAAACCCTTCCCCATGGTTTTACTGTGGCACTGCCCATCTATCTGCCGCAAACCTCCCGTCATCCAAGTGACTCTTTTGGCTTGAACCATAACAATGGAGAGTCACCATAAGATAGTATCTGTCACTTGGGAGTGTGTGATGGTTAATACTGGGTGTCAACTTGATTGGATTGAAGGATGCAATATTGATCCTGGGTGTGTCTGTGAGGGTGTTGCCAAAGGAGATTAACATTTGAGTCAGTGGGTTGGGGAAGGCAAACCCACCCTTACTCGGGTGGGCACCATCTAATCAGTCACCAGTAAATATAAAGCAGGGAGAAAAACGTGAGACAGTGAGACGGGCCTAGCCTCCCAGCCTACATCTTTCTCCCGTGCTGGATGCTTCCTGCCCTCGAACATGGGACTACAAGTTCTTCAGTTCTGGGACTCGGGCTGACTCTCCTTGCTCCTTAGCTTGCAGACGGCCTATTGTGGGAACTTGTGATCGTGTAAGTTAATGTTTAATAAACTAACAGGATGTATGTTAGTTCTGTCCCTCTAAGAGAGCCCTGTTCTGTTCTGACAGTTCTGTCCCTCTAGAACTGTGAGTTCTGTCCCCCTAAGAGAACCCTGACTAATACAGAGTGAGGGGATGGATTTGCTAGTCAAGTTAGCTAATTTCCTTGTTGGAAGGAGCCTGGCCACAGGTGTTTGGGAAGCCATCCTAAGTGGCTGTTGGGTGCACTGTGCTGGGAAGCCTTCCCTTTGGTTCTCGCCCAGCCTCAACTTTTGGGTGTGAGAAACACCACTGGGGAGCTCAAGAAAAGGCCCTCATTTCCCCACATTTTATGCCCTCAATTTTTTTTTTTTTTGAGACGGAGTCTCGCTCTGTCACCCAGGCTGGAGTGCAGTGGCATGATCTCAGCTCACTGCAAGCTCCGCCTTCCAGGTTCATGCCATTCTCCTGCCTCAGCCTCCCAAGTAGCTGGGACTAGAGGCATCTGCCACCATGCACTGCTATTTTTTTTTTTTTTTGTATTTTTAGTGGAGACGGGGTTCCACCGTGTTAACCAGGATGGTCTCTATCTCCTGACCTCGTGATCCACCCACCTCAGCCTTCCAAAGTGCTGGGATTACGTGAGCCACCGTGCCCGGCTGCCCCAAATTTTATAGTTAGTTGTGCAGAGTTTTTGGCACATCAGGACACAGTGATTCCTGCTCTCCCTTAAATGTGCTCATGAAATGAGATTTTCCGATTTCCTTCCATTTAACACATTGACGGTTGCGAGCCCACTAATAATAGCACTATTTTCCATCCCTGGTATATGAAAGTTGGCTGCAGGCTGGAGACACAGAGGCCCTGCCTAGGAACCCAGCCTTCTCAAAAGGGCAGCAGAGCTAGAGTGTGCCCTTCAGATGAGCCTGTGGAATCACAGAATCCAGACCTCTACAGATGGAAGAGGCCAAAGATGCCACCTAGACATCATTTCACGGATGAGGTACCAAGCTGGAGACTTGCACCAGATGACACAGCAAGTCAAGGCAGAGCTGGGACTCAGCCCTAAGCCGCGTGCCCGCTCCCCATCCACAGCTTTCTCTGTGTCCTCATTGCCAGTCGTGGCAATTTTATGGTGCACCTACCATGTGGGAAGCACTGTTTCACATGCTGGAAAAATAATACAGTGCATTTCAGTAAAGATCGCTAGAATTCAGAAGATGCTGGTGTGTTTCAGTGGGGGCTTGGGGAGTGATGGGAAAGAACCTGGGGGCATGGGACTTATGTTCAGTTCAGACAGAGTGTGGAGAGGAGAACATTGAGTGTCAGGATGATGGGGGAGCCAGACCTAGAAACTTTTGGGAGATTAAACAGAAAGCTGCCCACTCTTCCCCCAAAGTGTCTATTTACAAATCACAGAGACCTACTGTTAGCTTCTCTTCCCCACAACGCCTGACAGCCTATAAAAATGACAAAAACTCGGCTGGGCATGGTGGCTCATGCCTGTAATCCCAGCACTTTGGGAGGCTGAGGCAGGCAGATCACCTAAGGTCCGGAGTTCGAGACCGGCCTGACCAATACGGAGAAACCCTGTCTCTACTAAAAATACAAAATTAGCCGGGCCTGGTGGTGTGGCTGTAATCCCAGCTACTCAGGAGGCTGAGGCAGAAAAATCCCTTGAACCCAGGAGGCGGAGGTTATGGTGAGCCAAGATTGTGCCATTGCACTGCAGCCTGGGCAACAAGAGCAAAACTCCGTCTCAAAAAAAAAAAAAAAAAGCTGAAAACTTTTTCCATGTTTCCAACCAGAAGGCCAGAGGCTCTTGGCTGATGTTATAAAGCAAGGTAGTATCCAGATAGTGTCTACCGAGGTGGTTAAACAAAGATGCTTTGGAGATAGGCAGCCTGAATTCACATTCCAGCTCGTGACATTGAGCAAGCCACTTAAACTCTCTGGGTCTCTAGTGTCACGATGTACGTGAAGGAATCTCTGTACGTACAGTGGTTAACACGGTGCCTGGCCCACAGGTAATGCTTACAGTAAGTGGTAGTTGTTAACAGTTTTGGTACTTGCCTCGTCTGTCTCCCTAGACCTGGCTCTGGGGTCAACAGGAAGTTAGAGACAGATGAGTTCTCCCAGAACATACCTGGATCAAGACCTATTAAAAGTTTCTTTATCTCTCTTCATTGTCACATCTTTCATTTCAGGGAAAATTTGGAGGAGCTAAATTGGGAATGGAAAAGTTGCATCTGACAAAAGGTATGTGCAAACACATGTTTGCAAATGAGGTCAAGATTTCAAAATACCCCGTCTCTGACAGATGAGTCAAGCCCCACGCAGTGGTCTTACTATTTCCCACGTATGACGGCACATTCTCTCAGCGACCGATAGCATCGTCTGCCAGGAGTTATACTGGAGGGAGTTACTCATTGGAAAATGTGGCTGCATTGCCCAGATTGAGATCGCAAGTTGGACTTCCAGGGATTTCACCCAAAATAAGCTGAATTCCTCAGTTATAATTGTCCAAGGGATACAGCCAAAGAATCTGTATGCCAGACCAGCACTGGCTCCTGCTAGGGCAAGTGAGGGTGCAGACAGGGGATGGTTGTGGTTCTCAGCAGGGGTGTGAGGGACACTAGGTTTGTCTGACCCGCAGGCTTTTTCTACCAAGGACTGTCGCCAACTGGTCAATCTTTCATGCTTTGACTTAGTTATTTGCTCACTCCCTCAGCAACTATTTTTTGATCACCTAATAATAATAGCTTACACTTGCTTAGCATTATTATGTGCCAGGCAGGTGCTAAGCACCTTATATGTGGTAGCCCATGTCATCCTTCCAACAGCCCTATGAGACAGGTGTTTGTCTTAGTCAGTTAGGGCTACTACAGTAGAATTCCGAATACTTATTTCTTACAGTTTGTAAGTCTGGAAGTCCAGGATGAGGGTGCCAGCTTGGTCAGGTTCTGGTGAGGGCCCTCTTCCAGGTTGCAGACTGGCAACTTCTCTGTGGATCCTCACATGGCAGAAAGAGGGCAGGAGAGCTCTCTGGGGTCCCTTTTATAAAGGGACCAATCATTTACTGTCACATTGGAGGATCAGGGTTTCAACATGTGAACTTGGGGTGGGGGAACACATTCTGCCCCTTACAGTCTTATACGGCAGGGTCAAAAATGTTAGCTCAAACTATAACTGAGATGGGTAGACCAACGTGAATGTTTTACTTTGTCTATAACTCATCTGGCTTCTTCCTCAGCCCCCATCCCCTTCACTCACATGTGATCGGGGTAGAATGAGCTAAGTGGCTAATATAATTAGAATCTCTGTCCAGGCCAGGTGCGGTGGCTCACGCCTGTAATCCCAGCACTTTGAGAGGCTGAGGCGGGCAGATCACTTGAGGTCAGGAGTTCGAGACCAGCCTGGCCAACATGGTGAAAACATGTCTCTACCAAAAATATAAAAAAGTAGCTGGGTGTGGTGGCACACACCTGCAATCCCAGCTACTCAGGAGGCAGAGGCAGGAGAATCACTTGAACCCAGAAGGCAGAGGTTGCAGTGAGCTGAGGTCACGCCATTGCACTCCAGAGCCTGGGCAACAAGAGTGAAACTCCATAAAAAACAAAACAAAACAAAAACACTCCATCTCAAAAAAAAAAAAAAAAAAAAAAAAGAATCTGTCTGATCTGATCATTTAAGTAGCCCGTTTAGGTAGCACTCATTCTCCTTAAGATAAATACTCAGGAGAGTCTCTCAGATAGCCCCTCTTTTTGCATCCCTGCTGTTTCCTACCCTCAGATAGTGTTGGGGTGTGTGGGGAAGGTGTGGGGCTCACTCCACCTGCTGGCAGTGGGAAGCTTTGGAGTCGTTGGTGTAATGTCCTCTGGCCCCCAGGGCTGTGTCCTGCATCCCCTCATTTGATATCTTAGCACACGTCATTTTCCTCCTCCTATACCTACCCAATAAGACCATACTCCTCCACCCAGCTTCACGACTCTCCCTGCCAGGGGTGGCATCCTCACTTTCCAACCTTCTCTTCTATGTTTCCAATTTGTTCCTCAAAATCCAGCTTAGATCCACTTCCACCTTCATAAGATCTTCCGGGCACCGTAGCCTGAACACTCCCTTTTTCTGAACTTCTGGATCATAGCAACTAATTTTGTTCACCAATTATGTCCTCATCTGAGATCTCTCCTTTCTTATTGTTTCATGAAGTTACATGTATCTCTTGTTGTTGTGTAATATTTATAGTTTGTTTGAGAGCATGGGTGATGCCTTATATTTTGTTGAATTTCCTAAATCTAATCTGGAGTCTAGCACAGAGAAAGAACCAGGTGTTCACAGACAAAGAGTTCATATCCTTGTTTATGAGAAGCTCCTAAAAATAGAGGAGAGGAAAACAACCCAGTAATACCCCAGGAGAATGGGCTAGAGGTATGAAAAGATAATTCGCAGAAAAAGAAATGCAAATGGTCCTAATCACACACACACACACACAAGCTCAACCTCACTCAGAATTAGAATAATAAAACATTAAAATGACACAGATACTATTTCTAACCTATCAGATTGGTGAAACCTCACAAGTTTTACAACATATTCTTGGCAAGGTGAGAGAACAGCAGACACATTCGACATTCCTGGGGAGCTATATGTTGTTATGTAATAATCAACTGCAATTGCATTAGGGGAAAGGATTAGATAATGTGGTTTATTTTTTTATTTTTTATTTTTTTGAGACGGAGTCTCGCTCTGTCGCCCAGGCTGGAGTGAAGTGGCGCGATCTCAGCTCATTTCAACCTCCGCCTCCCAAGTTCAAGTGATTCTCCTGCCTCAGCCTCCCAAGTAGCTGAGACTACAGGTGTGCACCACCACAGCCAGCTAATTTTTGTGTTTTTAGTAGAGACAGGGTTTCCCTGGGGCCTGAATGGTGTTCCTTATGAAAGAGGATGTTTGGGGACTGCATCTCACTTAGCCAGCACTGAGTGCCGGTAACCTAGGGTCCAAGGCACCTGTGAGCTTTCTAATAAGAGTCTCGTTTGTGTTTGTGATATGTGGGGCCCTCTAAGCAGGGACTTAGGGTAGAAGCCCCGTTTGTCAGGTTCCAAGGGAAGTTCTGTTCTGGAGTCATCTCCAATGAAAAGAGCAAGATGGGGAAAAGTGTGTGTAGAATTTAAGAAAGGAGATGTGTGTATATACAGTCATGTACCGTGTAACGATGACTCAGTCAACAATGGAACACATATACAATGGTGGTCCCATAAGATTGTATACAGTATTTTTACTGTAGCTTTTCTGTGTTTAGATACACAAATACTAACCACTGTGTTACCGTGGCCTCCAGTATTCAGTACTGTAACATGCTGTAGGGGTTTGTATCCTAGGAGCAGTAGGCTATACCACCTAGCTTAGGTGTATAGTAGGCTCTACCATCTAGGTTTGTATCAGTACACTTCGTGGTGTTCACACAATGACGAAATTGCTTAGAACATGTCCTGTGATTAAGTGACATATGACTATATATATTTATATATGTATATTTTACAAAAGATAAACCATAATTTTAAAAAAGTTATCTATAGGGAAAGAGAGGGAATAGGATAGAGAGACAAGGATAAAAGCTGAACTTCTCTCAATATACCTTGTTTTGTAGATAGGACTTTAGAACCATGTAAATATTTTATATAAGAAATGTAAAGTTTTAAAAGAGAGTAATTAAAAAATCTAAAGCAAATGAAAAAAATGAATATAACTCTTTATCTAATGTGAAGCATAACCATACAGAGAAAAATGATTCCAAGTGACCTGAAAGCATAGAAACTTGAGTGTACATTCCTAGTGGGCTATATCCTAAGGACAAAAAGAACTGTCCAAAAAAAGAAAGAAAGAAAAAAATGGTGACTTATTTTCAGTAATCATATTGTTGGTGGTAATGTTATTCTGAGACCATTGTGTGCATACGGTGAGATAAAAGAAATAAGTAATTCTGTTATATTGTCAAGAACCAGGATTTTTCAGTGTCAGAGAAAGCAGGCATATATGCAAGATAGATGAAGTTAAGTCAAAACTTGATGGTACTGAATTGAACTGGAAGTTTCAGTATGAATTGGTGATAATATTTTGTCATTAAAAAGAAAGTATTTCTGGCTGGACGCGGTGGCTCACGTCTGTAATCCCAGCACTTTGGGAGGCCAAGGCGGGCAGATCGCAAGGGCAGGAGTTCGAGACCAGCCTGACCAACATGGTGAAACCCCGTCTCTACTAAAAATACAAAAATTAGCTGGGTGTGGTAGTGTGTGCCTGTAATCCCAGCTACTCAGGAGGCTGAGGCAGGAGAATCGCTTGAACCCGGAAGGTGGAGGTTGCAGTGAGCCGAGATCGCACCACTGCACTCCAGCCTGGGTGACAGAGCGAGACTCTGTCTCAAAAAAAAAAAAAAAGAAAAAGTATTTCCTAGCCCTGCCCACTGAAAAGGCCTAGAAACAATGAGCAACCTCGTGGCTACTAATTGTGGTCTAGACGTATTAATTCCCACCAATGAAACCAAGACTCCTTGAGAAATGCCTAGGTCCAGTCTGAGGTGGGAAATATACAAAATGAGCTTGGAACATCTTGTCATAACAGAAAGCAAGGAAATAAAATATCAAAAACTATTATGTTGTGACAAAAGAACTCAGGCGCTAACTTGAAGAGGCTCCCACCGGCCACGAAAGGTGGGAGGCACAATGTGAGTATCAATGATAATAAGGACAATGAGCTGAAACGTATTAAATATGTTTAAATACATGGGTTTTTAATGACAAAAAGAAACAATCTAACTCATTGGTTAACTTTGAAAAGGGCAAGGGAACGATGTTATCATTTTGAAAACAGGTAAATAGAGGCAAAAAAAAATCCAGCATTTATCTTGCCTTTCTTGTATGACTGTTATCTCAGATGGCCAAATAGTTGAGGAGAGAGAAGTTTCTCTTTATATAAGTATTGCAGCTGAAAAATGACAAAGGAATTATAGAATTGGAACATCATTGTTCTACAACCCCTGAAAATACTGCATTTTAACAAAAATTGTCAATGGATGTTAACATCACAAGAAGGAAATCAACCTGACATGTGACTCCTGGCGGAAATACACAATCCCACCTCTGAGCTATTCTTGTCAAGAAACCTAAGTGTGATTCAGCCTCTGGATCTCACTACCAATTTACCAGCAACACAGAGGACAGAGAAACAAGTTAAACATCACCATAGGACAGCAATCTTGAAAAATTCAGGCTGTGGAAAATTTTATAGGACAACCTGATTTCTTCAACAATAAACTACAAGGGGGCTGGGTGCGGTGGCTCACGCCTGTAATCCCAGCCCTTTGGGAGGCCGAGGCAGGCGGATCATTTGAGGTCAGGAGTTCAAGACCAGCCTGGTCAACACAGTGAAACCCTGTCTCTACTAAAAATACAAAAAAAATTAGCTGGGCATGGTGGTGCATTTCTATAATCCCGGCTACTAGGGAGGCTCAGGCAGGAGAATCGCTTGAACCTGGGAGAAGGAGGTTGCAGTGCACCAAGATTGTGCCACTGCACTCCAGGCTGGGCAACAGAGTGAGACTCTGTCTCAAAAAAACTAAAAGGAAATTACAATAGTACCTTCTTATCCTTAGTTTTGGTTTCTGAGGTTTCAGTTACCCGTGGTCAACCATGGTCCCAAAATAGGTATGTATAGTACAATAAGATATTTGTAAAGAGAGAGACAGAGAGACCATATTCACATAACTCTCATTACAGTCTATTGTTCTAATTATTTTATTTTATCATTTGTTATTGTTGTTAATCTCTTACCGTGCCTAATTTATAAGTTAAACTATTTTAGAGGTATGTATGAATAGGAAAAAAACATGGCAGATATAGGGGTTAATATTATCTGTGTTATCAGGCATCCACCGGAGGTCTTGAAACTTATCCCCAGCAGATAAGAGGGGGGCTACTATAAAAGGAAAGGAGAAAGAGAAATGGAAGAGAGACCTATAGATCAAGATCAAGCACAAGGGATGAAATACTTACCAGCAAACATAATGTATGAACCTTTTTTGGCACTTGATTCAAAAAAACCATACATTGGGAATATTTGAATATTGGTTTAATATATATTGAGAAATTGATTATTGTTAATTTTTCAGGTGTGATAATGATATGGTGGTTAGTTATTTATTATTATTTTTTAAGACAAGGTCTCACTCTGTTACCCAGGCTGGAGTGCAGTGGCATGACCTTGGCTCGCTGTGACCTATGCCTCCTAGGCTCAAGTGATCCTCCCACCTCAGCCTCCCAAGTAGTGGGGACTACAGTCCCGTGCCCCCATGCCTGGCCAATTTTTGTATTTTTTGTAGAAATGGGGTTTTGCCACATTGCCTAGGTTAATCTTGAACTCCTGGGCTCAAGTGATCCACGCCTGACCTTGTGGTTATTTTTTTAAGTCCTTATCTAGAGATACTTAACAGAAATATTTAAGATAATATGATGTCTGGGATTTATTCAAAATTATCTGGAAGGGGGAAGAGGTAGAATTATTGTTGAAACAAGATTGTTCATGAATTAAAAATTGGTGAAACTGTGGATTTACATGATTCCACATGCTTTTCCAGCCCAAGGAAGGCTGGAAATCTATGAGGTTTTTAAAGTGTCTGTCTTTCTCTTTGTAATCTCATAGGTGCTGCCTGTGGTTGGAGGCAAAATCCTGGATTTCCTCAATGGCTTGGAGTTGGAGGGCTGTTCCTGTGGTTGTGATTTCAACCCAAGTGCTAGTAGAATTGAGCACTTAGTTTCCTGGTTATGTTATCAAACCGAAATTCGGATTGGCCTCCCTAGGTCCCTATATTTGACAATGGCCACACTGTGCTGCCAGGAACAGACACTGGAAATATCAGTGCCTCCTTTCACTCTCCAATCCACTAGCATACAAGCTCCATGGGGCCAGGGGTTTTTATCTGTTTTGTTCACTGCTGTGTCTTCAGTGTCTATAACATTGCCTGACATCGTAAATGCTCAATAAATCTTTCATGACTGAATGACTCCAAGCAGTTGCCGAGTCCTGTGACTTTTCCCTTATAATTCACCTTCTACCTGTCCATTCCCATTATTACCTGTGGTGAAAGAAAGATGGTCACAAGTTTTTGACAATGCTCCCATTGAAAAGTGACTGTGTGTCCCAACCCCCTTGAATCTGGGTGGGCTCTGTAACTAGTTGAACCAATACCTATGATACAAATGATGCTGTGTCACTCTACAGGCCCAGGACTTAAGAGATCTGCAATTTCCACTTCCTCTCTCAAACCCTCACTCTTAGAGCCCTGGACAGCTAGAAAGACCCTGGAACTATATGGAGAAGGAGAAGAGATCAACTGAGGTCAGCCTTCCAGCCGTTTCTTTCAAGAAGCCAGGCATGTGAGGGAAGCTATCTTGGGCCTTCCAGCCTACCAGCTGAATACCACTGAGTGACTCCAGATAATGCTATACGGAACAGAAGAATCACCCAGCTGAGCCCTACCCAAATTCCTGATCCACACAGTTGTGAGATATAATAAAACTGTTGTTGGCGGGGCACAGTGGCTCAAGCCTCTAACCCCCAGCACTTAGGCAGGCTGAGGCGGGATGATTGCTTGAGGCCAGGAGTTTGAGACCAGCCTGTACAACATAGAGAGACCCCATCTCTACAAGAAGTAAAAAATTAGCTGGCTGTGGTGGTGCACACCTGTAATCTAGCTACTTGAGAGGCTGAGGTGGGAGATTGCTTGAGTCCAGGAGTTCAAGGTTACAGTGAGCTATGATCATGCCATGCACTCCAGCCTGCATGATAGAGCAAGATCCCGTCTCTAAAATAAAAAAAAAAAGTTTCCATTTTGAGACCTTAAGTTTTGGGGGTGATATGTTAATACAGCTATAAATAACCAGAACATTAGCCTACTCTGGACCTTATAACTTCTTGCCTGGAAAACTGATCCCTACATTCAGTCTCCTACCTATCCTTTTAACTACCCTCTGCATGGCATAGATTAGTTTCTATGAAGGAGTTACTGCTTAAAAAAAAAAAAAAAAAGTTATCATCAACAGAATACAGCCCAATCTCTTTAGCTTGGCCTTATGGATCTCTGAACCCAACTCTGCAAGCTCTCCTATCTTCCTCTCACATGACTTGTGCTTGAGCCAAGTCCAGATTTTGGCTTATCCATTTGACCCCCCATGGTTTTATTTTTGTTCATGCTTTCCCTCCTCCTGGAATCCACTTCATTCATTCATGTACATCCAAATTCTACTTGCTTTCCAAAGATGTCCACAAATGTCAATCCCCACAGGTAGAAATAATCTCTTTCTCCTGAATTTCCACAGCATTTTACCAAGGCCTTTCATAAAACATACCCTTTCCTTCCTTTTTAACATTATAATTTGGAAACATGTCTTTATCATTCCGCAGAGACCATGAAATCCTTGAAGGTAAGATTCACATCTTATTTACTTATTTTAAACTCATTATTGAAACTAGCAGCCAGGCGTGGTGGCTCACACCTGTAATCCCAGCACTTTGGGAGGCCAAGGTAGGTGGACCGCGAGTTCAGGAGATCGAGACCATCCTGGCCAACATGGTGAAACTCCGTCTCTACTAAAAATACAAAAAAAACCAGCCAGGCGTGGTGGTGGGCGCCTGTAGTCCCAGCTACTCAGGAGGCTGAGGCAGGAGAATGGGGTGAACCCGGGAGGCAGAGCTTGCAGTGAGCTGAGATTGCGCCACTGCACTCTAGCCTGGGCGACAGAGCCAGACTCCATCTCAAAAAGAAAAAAAAAGGAAAGTAGCAAAGAGTTTGGCTCTTGTAGACCCTTAATAAATATTTTTTGGATGAATAGGTGGATAGATGAACAAATGGGGCCCAGTCTCATTTTGTGGTTATAGCTCAGCAGCAATCACACTGTAGTCATGCATCGTTAAACTATCAGTTCAGTTTCCTCATCTGTATGTTGGTGGAAATAACAATAATGATAATATCAGTCTTGCTTCTGTTACATGGTTGTTGTAAAGATCAAATGAGATGTGAAAGCAAGAAGTGCTAAATGCAAGGTATCCACCTGGAATTAAATAAAGACAATTTTTAGCAAAGGCGGCCGACGTGACTGCTTATGACTCCGTATTAGCCACAGCAGGCCAAGAAATTCAGAGAAAGCGTGGTCCCCACTGGCACAACCTGGGGGAAGACCAGAGCAACTCAAGGAACCACTGACTCAGCCTCTGCTTTCTTTGTAACAAAACACTTGAGGGCAAGGGGAGAAAGTGGAACTCCTTACAACCGCCTGCCCCAACTCCTTGGATGTGCCAGGCACCAGGGCTACGTTTAACCCTCTGGGGTCCATCCCAACCAAAGGCTGAGGTGCCTTTGAGAAGCAGGCCTGTGGAATGTGGACTCTTGCTGTAGCTAAAGCAGAGAAGGGAATCCAGTGGCCCATGTGAACCCTGCAAAGTGCCTGGGAAGACATTGTTTCAGGCCTGGCCACATGCATTTGCTCAAACCATGTCCCCGAGCCTCAGGTTCTCCCTCTGCGTTTCTCCGCTCTGCTCTTTTCTGTCTTGATTTCCTTTACAGGCAGTCTCTCCCATGTGGTGGCACAGATGGTTCTGAGCAGCCTCACACTTACATCCTACCAGTTTAACAACCTCCTCGCCGAAAAGAGCACTTCTCTTCCCCAGTAGTTCCAGAAAAAGTCTAGGGATTAGGACTCGCTAGACAGACAGGAGCTCTTTCCCTGAGCCAATCACTGTGGTCAAGGGGATGGAGTCTCCTGATGGCCCAGCCTGTGCTATCTGGAGACCCCAGGAGCTGGAGCTGGAGGTGGAGGCAGTGGTGGTGGTGGGGATTACCCTAAAGGAAAAGGATGGTGCTATCACCAAAGAAATGGGGAATGGAAGTCGCATAGGGAAAACAACAGATCCCAGCCCACCAATCCTGGCAGGAGATACCAAGCTGTACATAAAAACAGTGCTTTTCTCAAGCCTGGTATTGGGCACCTATTCTTTATTGAACCCTTTATTGTGAATTGTCCCACCCAACCAGGTAACAAGTTGTCCAGGGCACCTGGACATAATAGCTCTATTCCACTGGCACCACCCCATCCCCTCTCTGTCTGTCTTATCTAGACTGTTTTTAATCTGTCTCTGATTTGCTCTTGATCACCAAGCATGCCTTGTTCTCATCTTTCCTGATTCATTATCCCTCTTGGCCTCCACAACCATGAAATACAAGAGCTGTTTACTGCCACTCCTGTCGAAGCCCACGTGTATCATCACCATATACATATATCATTGGGCTGCTAGTGGCCATAAAGGCAGAGAGCCTATCTGAACATTAAAGAGACAGAGCCTTGATGATATTGCTTGACTCTCTGAAACCAGCCACACCTGAAACCAGCTATCCCTCTGTTGTGGGTTGAATTGTATTCCCAAAACAATATGTTGAAGTCCTCACCTCCGGTACCTGTGAATGTGCCTTCATTTGGACGTAGGGTGTTTGCAGATGTAATCAACTTAAGATGATGTCATACTTCATTAGGGTGGGCCCTAATCCATGATGACAGCTGTCCTTATAAGAAGAGAAGAAATGCAGAGACAGGCACACAGGGAGAGCCTCAGTTGATGATGAAGGCAGAGATTGGGGTGATGAGTTTGCAAGCCAAGGAAGGCCCAGGATTGTTGGCAACACCCAAAGCTAAGAGAAGGGCATGGAACAGAATCTCCCCAAGTGCCTTCAGAAGGAGCCAACCTTGCTGCCATCTTGGTTTCAGACCTCTAGCCTCCAGAACTGTAAGAGAGTAAGTTTCTGTTGTTTTAAACCACACGTGTTTGTGGTCATTTCTTAGAGCAGCACTAGGAAAAAAATACACCCTTTCATTTTCCCCCCCAGTTTTGTAAGCCAATGCATTTCCTCCTTGCTTAAGCAAAATTATGTTTCTCTTACTTACAGCTAAAGTCCTGAATAATACATGTCACCTACACTATGCTATGTGCTGAGGATTCAAAGGCAAATGAGACCCTGTCCCTACCTTTAAGTCATCCATCCTGTGGCTCTAAGCCCAGCATCATCTAACCTTGCTGGGGCCTAAACCAGTGAGAAGGACAAAAAGAAACTCAAAGTCATGCTGAGATGGCAATGTCTTACCCCAAATAATGAAAAGTATGTCTCTCAAGCACTGTTCAGACCTCTGATGAAAGCAAGGCATGATTGGCAAGGAAGAGCAAATCAGAGACAGAATAAAGGACTCCTGTCTGTCCACTGAGACACGCAAAAACATGACTGGATAAAGGCCAGTCTCCCCAGCCTGGCACTGATGGTTTCAGCTTTCCTTCCTTCCTTCCTTCCTTCCTTCCTTCCTTCCTTCCTTCCTTCCTTCTTTCCTCCCTTCCTTCCTTCCTTCTTTCCTTCCTTCCTTCCTTCCTTCCTTCCTTCCTTCCATCCTCCCTCCCTCCCTTCCTCTCTCTCTTTTCCTCCTTCCTTCCTTTCCTCCTTCCTTCCTTCCTCCCTCTTCTTTCTCTTTTTCTCTCTCCTTCCTTCCTTTCCTCTCTCTCCTTCCTTCCTTCTTTCCTCCCTTTCTTTCCTTCCTTCTTCTATTTTTCTTTCCTTCCTTCCTTCCTTCCTTCCTCTGCCCTTCTCTTTCTCTCTCTCCTTCCCTCTCTCTCTCTTTCTTTTCTGAGACAGGGTCTCCCTCTGTTGCCCAGGCTGGAGTGCAGTGGCACAATTTTGGCTCACTGAAACCTCTGCCTCCAGGCTCAAGCCATCCTCTCACCTCAGCCTCCCGAGTAGCTAGGACTACAGGTGTGCGCCACGACGCCTGGATAATTTTTATATTTTTAGTAGAGACAGGGTTTTGCCATGTTGCCCAGGCTGGTCTCAAACTCCTGAGCTCAAGCAATTCTCCAGCCTTGGCCTCTCAATGTGTTAAGATTACAGGTGTGAGCCACTGCGTCTGGCCGTCTAGCCTATATTTCTATCATCATCTTCCACTATATTTGGCTCTTTCTGAATTCTTTCCACCTCCTTTGCTCCAGTCACATCAAATTACTATTTATTCCCCGAAGACGCTATATGCTTTCAAGAGTTGTTAGATTTGCTCACCATAGCTGTCTACAGAGTCCTTTCCTCTATCTCTAAGTCCTAGCCATCTATATTAGCTCCTTAGAGCTGCCATTAAAAAATGACCACAAACTGGGTGGCTTGTACCAACCAAAATGTATTCTTTCACAATTCTGGAAGCTGTAAGTCTGAAATCAGGGTGTCAGCAGGGCCATGCTCTCTCTGAAGACTCTAGGGAAGGACTCTTCATCTCCTCTCTCTAGTTTCTAGTGGCTGCCGGAAATCCTTGGCCCTCCTTGGCTGGTAGACACATCACTCCAACCTCTGCCTTTGTTGTTATGTGCCATTTCCCCTGTGTCTGGGTCCAAATTTCCCTCTTCTTATAAGGACACCAGTCACTGGTTTAGGACCTACCTTAATCCAGTACGACTTCCATCTTAACATGGTTATATTTACAAAGACCCTATTTCCAAGTAAGGTCACATTCACAGGTACCAGGGGTTAGGACCCCAAATCTATTTGGGGTACACAATTCAACCCACAACATCATCCTTTGAAACCCAGCTCAGTTTGCCACATTCTCCAGGAAGTCTCCATCACCTACCTATGGCATGAATGTCTGATGCTCCCAATCTCTGCTGTAGCTGCATCACCTTTGTCCCTGCGGTTGAGATACTTGTGAACTTACTAATTTAGAGCTTGTGAGGGACAGGACTGGAACTCAAACCTTGTCTGTATGGTCCAAAGCCCTTGGTCAGTACCTGTGTTACTCATCAGAAAACAATCTATAAGCTGGGCACAGTGGCTCATCCCTGTAATTCCAGCACTTTGGGAGGCTGAGATGGGAAGATCGTTTGAGGCCAGGAATTCGAGACCAGCCTGATCAACACAGCAAAACACTGTCTCTACACAACTTTTTTTTATAAAAAATTAGCTGAGTGTGGGGGTAGCCATATAGTCTCAGCTACTGGGGAGGCTGAGGTTGGGAGATTACTTGAGCCAAGGAGTTTAAGGCTGCAGTGAGCTATGATCATGCCACTGCCCTCCAGCCTGGGTGACTGAATGAGACTCTGTCTCAAAAAAAAGAAAGAATGAACGAAAGAAAAGAAAGAAAGAGAGAGAGAAGGAAGGAAGGAAGAAAGAAAGGAAGGAAGGAAAAGAAAGGAAGAAAGGAAGGAAAGAAAGAAAGAAAGAGAAAGAAAGACAATAATCTATAAATATTTCCCTGTTTAAATTGAACTGATAAGGAGAAACAAGATAAGGTGAGGGAGAGATTAGCTGTATGGTACATTCTGAAATGATTTGCAAGCCATTAGAATAAAATGAAAGCTGCCCTAGTAAGAACTAAAATACAGCTTATCTGCTTTAGTTCCTCACTTACAATAGTTGGAGTTTTGGTCTCTCGCATCCTTTAGATGGGACAGCTTTGAAATGCTCTAAAGGGCTAAGAAGAGTCTTGGAGACCCAAGAATGGCCCTGTCCATTGGCCGCTCTGGCCTCAAGGGTCAGGGGTGGTGGAACAATCCCCATTCCCTCTGCTCTGGTGACAACCCCAGTCCCACTCTCTGACTGCCCTGTTGGAAACTCAAAACTAAATACACAAACGGAAGAAATTCTGTGTCAGGACTGCCATGGGGTAGTCTGGGTCCCCATCGAGCTTCATGAAAAAGTTGTTGGCCAGGAAACAGGGTCGCTGGCCCAGAGCCTGCGCTTGCTCCATCCATGATCTAAGCATTTAACAGAAGGAGCTACTGCTGTCTGCCTGGAGACAAGCGAGTTAAGAATAACTTTGCAGAGGCTGAGCTTTACAGGCCTAGCCATCCTGAAATAGCTGAGACATGATCATCCATTACCTTGATGCCTGTCTTTCAGGGAGACAGTTCCAGAGACTGGCCCAGGAAAACAAATTATATATTCCTCCTCATTAAAATGTCTCAGCAAGACCCTTAAATCAGGCTTTGAGGTCCAGGTTCCAACTACTTCTCAGTTAGAATTTCTCCTGGGCGTTTTGGTGGTTCTTGCCAAATTGGGTAGTTCCCAATGTGGGGACTGTTTCTAAATCAGGGTCTGAGAGCAACCAGCCTCCTTAGGAAAACGACGAAAGAAATTCAAATGGAAAAGAAGTATTAATTAGCCCTTATATAGCACTTCATGGCTTTCTCAGGTGCAATTTTAAGTGCTTTACATAGATAGGTATTGAGATAGACTATATTATTGTCCCATATGTTCTCTGTACCTCTTTGTGGGAGGATTACACCTCCCTACCATGTTGACATCAAGCTTAGCCATGTAACTGTTTTGCCAAGGAAATGTAGACAGAAGACACATACATCATTTTCAAGAAGAAGCCTAAAGAGCCGTTTCATGGATCCACCATCAACCATACTTCCTGCTGCCCTAACACCAGCAATGATGTAGATAAGGGCTCCTCCTTCAGTCTGGTTCCAGAGGGAAAGGCTAAAGCCAGCCTGCAATGGACATGTGATATAAGCAAGAAATACATCTTTGTTCCTGTAAGCCACCGAGTGTTTGGAGTTGTTTGTTATCACAGAACAACTTAGTGTGAGCTATTATCATTATCACCATTTAACAAATGAAGGAACCAAGGCAGAGACTGTGCAGCTTAAAGAATCTCATCCAACCAGGAAGTGGGAGAACTAGGATTCACATCTGGGCAGCCTGGCTTCATAGTCCATGCTCTCAACCACTTGACTAATTGCCTCTGAAAGTGTCTGTTGTTTTCCTTCAAAACTCCTTTAGCTGACAGTATCTCCACGCATGCCGTTTTTCTTCATTTCCCATGGAGGTAATTAAGAATAACTGGCAGATCATTTGTTTCTCAGTAGGTAGAGGAGACCAGGTAGATGACTCTGTGTAAGAAAACAACAGGTGGCCGGGCGTGGTGGCTCATGCCTGTAACCCCAGCACTTTGGGAGGCCGAGGTGGGTGGATCACAAGGTCAGGAGATCAAGACCAGCCTGGCCAACATGGTGAAACCCTGTCTCTACTAAAAATACAAAAATCAGCTGGGTGTGGCGGCGCATGACTGTAATCCCAACTACTCTGGAAGCGGAGGCAAGAGAATCTCTTGAACCTGGGAGGCGGAGGTTGCGGTGAGCCGAGATCGCACCACTGCATTCCAGCCAGAGCTAGACTCCGTCTCAAAAAAAAAAAACAAAACAAAACATAATAGGTTACTGAAGGAGCCAGACTCATTGGTATGCAAAACCAGAAACAACTTTATTTTTTCCATGTCGCAGTCTTGCAGGAATTAACAAACTATTCATCATTAGAGATTTAAAAACTGAGACCAAGCCTAATATCAAAACACTAACTTCCCAACTATTTGAAAGCTGCTCTCCTGCCTCAGGTTTGGAATTTGCAGTAGGAAGGGAGTCACGGCTGGCTTCCTCCTTATTTCCCTTCCACGCCTCCTCCACTCACCTGGCTACCTCAAGCTCTTGCAAAATGGGGGCTGGGAGTGGGGTGGGGGTAAGAGGCAGGGAAAATTCTCACTTGGCTTTAGTGCCCTCTGGGTTTGGCAGGAGGTCCCATGTTGCCTCTTTGTGACAAGGGCCTCTATGATGGATCCCCCAGAAAGTCTGTTGGGACACTGCATGGCACCCCTTTCTGGCCCGGGGAACATACTCTCTGGCTAACCACTTTTTTTTTTTTTTGAGACGGAGTCTTGCTCTGTCGCCAGGGTGGAGTGCAGTGGTGGGATCTTGGTTCACTGCAACCTCTGCTTCCTGGGTTCAAGCAATTCTCTTGCCTCAGTCTCCCAAGTAGCTGGGACTACAGGCGCACGCCACAATGCCCAGCTAATTTTTGTATTTTTAGTAGAGACGGGGTTTCACCATGTTGGCCAGGATGGTCTCAATCTCTTGACCTTGTGATCCACCCACCTTGGCCTCCCAAAGTGCTGGGATTGCAGGCTTGAGCCACCGCGCCTGGCGTGGCTAACCACTTCTGATCTTCCTTTCCTCCACTCCATCTTCCACATCCAACCTCTTTCTCCTGGCACAAAACCCTCTCAGAGGCAGTCCCTTTTTTGTGAAACAGCTCTATTGAGACACAGTTGGCATACAACAAACTGCGCATAATTCAGGTGCACTATTGGGTAATTTTTGACTTTTGAAGAGACCCATGAACCACAATCAAGATAGAGAACACTTTTGTCACTCTCAAAAGTTTCTTCACGGCCCTTAGTATTTCCTCCCTCCCGTCTTTCCCCCGTCTTCAGGCAGCACTAATTTGCTTTCTGGCATCATTGATTTGTCTGGTTTCTTACATTCAGCATAATTCCTTTCAGATTCATCATAGGGTGTGTGTGTGTGGTGGGGGGGCTCTTTTTTCAAGATAACTGAAGCACAGCCACCTTCTACAGGTGCACAGGGCCCACAGGAAAGTCCACTCATCTGTGACCTGCCACTCAATGCAAGTGCAGCATGTTCTGGGCAGCTGCTCTGAGCTGCTTCACTTTTATTTCCCAGGCCTAGCAGGCTCCAGGGTGAGGCCTCCCAGGGCACACAGGCCAGGCTCTCTAAGCCCTTGAAGGTATATTTCTCTGTCTTGAGGATGGAAAGGGAATCCCCTACTGCCCTGTGTACCCCATCCCAGTACTTGGGGGAATCGTTCCCTTTCTGATCTCTGAGTGAAGTTCTTAGCAGCGCCTATATAGCCTCCAGAGGCTGATACTCAAGAGTCCCCACGCTGGCTTTTTTGGATCATTCTTAAGCGAACTCTGCATAGATGATTTACAGCTGTTCTTTAGACCATGTGGGCATCTAACATTTTATGTTCTCAGCTTGGGACCTCATCTGAAATGGAGACAACAGGAAAATTTGGATGTTAACATCCTGTGATGATAACTTGGAGGTTAAAGGAGGCCATTACTGGCTGGGCATGGTGGCTCACACCTGTAATCCCAGCACTTTGGGAGGCCAAGGCAGGCGGATCACAACGTCAGGAGTTCGAGACCAGCCTGACCAACATGGTGAAAGCCCGTCTCTACCAAAAATAGAAAAATTAGCTGGGCGTGGTGGCGTGCGCCTGTAATCCCAGCTACTCAGGAGGCTGAGGCAGGAGAATCGCTTGAACCCGGGAGGCGGGGGTTGCAGTGAGATCGCACCCCTGCACTCCAGACTGGGTGACAGAGTGACACTCCATCGATTGAAAAAAAAAAAAAAAAAAGGAGGCTGTTGCTTAGAAATGTCCCTAACCCAAGTGCCCAGACTTCACCAGCTATGAGGTCACACCGCCATTTGCTGTCAAAGTCACAGTAGCCAAGGGCCCCAGTCCCCTTGAACACACAATTTTACCAGGTTCTCCTCCATGAGTCTTCTAGTACACTAGCAGAAATGCTCATGAGAGCTACAAATCCACGCAGATCCCCACTCCACCCTCATCAGCTCTGTGATTCTGCGTCACTTCCCCACTCTCTTCTCTCCAAGGACCCCTCCTCAGTCTGGAGTCTGACTCCTCTGGCAGTGGCTGCCCTCCCTCCAGTATGGCTTCACCCCAAGCATGGGGCACAGACACCCTCCCTCGAGTGTTCCCAGCAAGGCTAGAGCCGACTTTGCCACATAAGGGGACTAAAGAAAAGCCAAGGTGACAGAAAGGACAGAATGGAGGGTCTTTACAGAGGTCCCTTCCTTAGGGTTGCCAGATTTAGCAAATAAAAATACCGGACTCCCAGTTAAATTTGAATTTCAGATGAGCAATGAATAATTTATTTAATTTAATTATTATTATTATTTTTTGAGATGGAGTCTCACCCTGTCACCCAGGCTGGAGTGCAATGGTGCAATCTCAGCTCACTGCAACCTCTGCCTCCCAGGTTCTAATGATTCTCCTGCCTCAGCCTCCCAATTAGCTGGGATTACAGGTGCCTGCCGCCATGCCCAGCTAATTTTTGTATTTTTAGTAGAGACGGGGTTTCACCATGTTGACCAGGCTGGTCTCGAACTCCTGACCTTGTGATCTGCCCATCTCGGCCTCCCAAAGTACTGGGATTACAGGCGTGAGCCACCGCGCCCGGCCATGAATAATTTTTTTACAGTAAGTATGTCCCAGGCAATATTTGGAATATAGTTACACTGTAATATTATTCATTGTTTATCTGAAATTCAAATGTAACTAGGCATCCAGCATTTTATCTGGCAACCCTGCCTCTTCTGGGTGTCTCTCTGTAGTCTCTGACATGTCCTCTGTTGCAGAATCCAACTTATTTCCCATAACAAGGGAGTCCTGGAGAAACCCTCCCTCCTGTCTTTTCAACCCGCAAAGCTCCAAGAACAGGGAGCAGGTTTCCCCTCCAAGAGTCCAAGGCTCCTTCCAAGTCCCTAATTCTGGCCCCAGGATGACTGATCATGAAATAGTCATTCCTTTCAGGGGAACCCCCAGCCCAAGAATGTGGTCTTGTCCTTTGCCTCCTAATGGCATGAGAACAATACTCTGGGATCAGCACATTTCCTGAAGTCTATCTTGCATTGTTGTTCTTTTTTATTTTATTGTAAATTGACAATTTATAATTGTATATATTTATGGAGCACAAGGTGATGCTATGATTTATGAATATAACACAGATGAATTAAATCAAGCTAATTAAATGCTTTTCATTTTTGTGATGAGAATATTTGAAATGTACTCTCTTAGCAATTTTGAAATATACAATACACTATTATTATCTATATTCACCATGCTGCGCAATAGATCTCAAAAAAAAAGTATTCCTTCTAAGATTTTTGTACCCTTTCACCATCTTCTCTCCATTTCTCCCATCCCCAGCCTCTGTAACCAACATTCTACTCTCTGCTTCTACAAGTTCCATTGTCTTAGAGTCTACATGTAAGCGAGAACATGTGGTATTTGTCTTTCAGTGCCTGGCTTATCTCGCTTAGTAGGATGTTCTTTACTTTGTTCTCTGTTGTCACAAATGACAGAATTTCCTTCTTTTTAAAGACTGAATAACATTCCATTGTGTCTATATACATTTTCTTTATTCATTCATCTGTTGATGGACACTTATGTTGATGCTGTAATTTGGCTGCTGTGAGGCCCTAGGGCACAGTGATAACAAGGGAGTGCAGACATCTCTTTGAGAAATTGATTTCAAATCTTTTGGGTAAATAGCCAGAAGTTGGATTGCTGTATCATATGGTTATTCTACATCATATGCTTATTCCATTTTTAGTTTTTCTTTTTCTTTTTTTTTTTTTTTGAGACAGTTTCGCTCTTGTTACCCAGGCTGGAGTGCAATGGTGCAATCTTGGCTCACCACAACCTCTGCCTCTGGGTTCAAGTGATTCTCCTGCCTCAGGCTCCCAAGTATCTGGGATTACAGGCACGCACCACCATGCCTGGCTAATTTTGTATTTTTAGTAGAGATGGGGTTTCATCATGTTGGTCAGGCTGGTCTCAAACTCCTGGCCTCAGGTGATCCACCCGCCTCGGCCTCCCAAAGTGCTGGGATTACAGGCGTGAGCCACCGTGCTTGGCCTCGGCCTATTTTTAGTTTTTCGAGAAACTGCCATACAGTTTTCCATAATAGCGGTGCTGCTTTACATTTCCGCATTCCCTTTCCCCACTTGCACAGTTGTTCTTGAATAACCGGGCCTGGGGAAACGTCAGTGGGTGAGTCAGGTTGCTTTAGGCTGTCATCATCCTACTGCCTTAGGGGACCTCTGTCAGTCTGGGGGCAGAGATTTGACTCTAGCAGTTTTTCCTGCATCTTCCGCTCTCTGCTCCCAGTCTTGGACAAGACTGCATTACACATCTCCCCAGAAGAAACAATACTTTTAGAAATAGGGCCGTCCTACAGCTCTGCCCTCAGGAAAGATAATCATTTCTGTTATTAGGCAGAACACAGCAGTCCCCATTCCACAACTGGATGTTGACTTTATCTTTACAGAATCAAAGGCCCATTAAAGTATTTTCCCTAAATCAACACTGCAAGTTGCCCACAGGCTAAAACCCCCACCTATGCCTAAACATAAGGACTGCTGTGCATTTAATATATCAGTTTTTCCTGCACAGAATCATCAAACTTTCGTAAAATCCAGGGCTTCAGTCTTAGCCAAGATCTCACCAGCTCCCCCACTGCCATACATACCACTGGGGATTCATCCAATGAATAGACTGGAAATCTTTGTATGAATGCCTTGCTAGATTTTTTGGTTCAAAACACAGTGATGCTTCCATTGGACAGCTCTGGTGGCGCTGAATGCAATGAGCTTTCCGGATAACTGAAGCTTATCTCTACAAAACCCAACACTTTATTTTATCCATTTTGATTGGAATCTGTCAAAACTGTCACAGCACAGATCTATGCCTGCTCTTTTTTTGAGTTTTTCTGTCTCCTTTGTCTTCAGGCTACCATATGGGTTGACACTGTGCTAACTGTGTCTACTTCTAGCAGCCCCTCCCTATTTTTTATTCGCAGTGGAGAAGGATGTGTTAAAAAAAAAAAGAGTAAACAGAATCACAGGGCCTTAAGACTTTCTTGCAAGTAAAGTTCTTGTGTTTTTTTTTTTTTTTGTTTGTTTGTTTTTTTTTTGAGACAGAGTCTCTCTCTGTCCCCTGGCTGGAGTGCAGTAGCGCAGTCTCAGCTCACTGCAACCTCTGCTGCCCAGGTTCAAGCAATTATTCTGCCTCAGCCTCCCAAGTAGCTGGGATTACAGGCGTGCGCCACCGCGCCTGGCTAATTTTTGTAGTTTTTTTAGTAGAGACGGGGTTTCACCATCTTGGCCAGGCTGGTCTTGAACTCCTGACATCATGATCCACCCGCCTCGGCCTCCCAAAGTGCTGGGATTACAGGCATGAGCCACCGCACCTGGCCGCTCTTGTCTTTAGAGCAGGACATTGTGAAGGTTATTCGAGGGGCTTAAAAGGTTTTGTTTTGGTTCATGGCCTAATTTTAGCTTTCCGTCTTTCTGAAAAGTTAAGATTTCTTCCCTTCTGAATAAGTGGGATGTTATTATAATGAAATGCACAAGTTCCTTTAGAACATGCTATGGCAAGCTATCCAAGTTAGAGCTGTTGCTGAGGGAACCAGGCAAAGCTTGCTTAATGTATAAACCTGGTTATTATATTTAAAATTCAAGCAGCAGCCAGAGATTCCTATCGGGAGAGGGAAGACTTTACTTTTGAAGAGGAAAAGTACTTAACTCCTAGAGGAAAGCGTCATTCCTGAGGTTTACCCTCATGGTCTGGAGACAAACACGTGGGACTTTTCTTTTTTGTGTGTGTTTCTAATAGTGGAAGAAAAGGAAAGCCAGGCTAAGCAGAGAAAAGTGGAAGAGGAGACACAGCAGCTCATTCTTTCCCAGTAGCCGTTAGACTGATTGCGGAGGGGAAGGTCAAAAGAGAAGTTCACAACTATGATACCAGCTCTAGAGGCGAAAGAACAACTGAGAGAGAACTATCCAAGAAGTGTTTGGATCCCGAAGCACAAAGGTGAGGAAAGAGCAAAATATGGCTTTCCCTCATAAAAGAAAATACAGCTGACCTCTGAACAACAAAGTGGCGGGCGTGGGGCGGGGGCGGGGGGGGGGCGGTTTACTCGCGCCGACAACCACGCAGCTGAAAATCCACGTACAATTTTTTTTTTACTCCCCCAAACTTTACTAATAGCCTTCTGCTGACTGGAAGCCATGCTGATCACATAAACAATTAACACATATTTTGTGTGTTATATGTATTATATGTTGTATTCTTACAATAAAGTAACCTGACTGGGCACGGTGGCTCACGCCTGTAATCCCACCACTTTGGGAGGCCGAGGCAGGTGGATCACGAGGTCAGGAGTTTGAGATCAGCCTGGCCAACATGGTGAAACCCTGTCTCTACTAAAAATACAAAATATTAGCCGGGCGTGATGATATGCACCTGTAGTACCAGCTACTCGGGAGGCTGAGGCAGAAGAATTGCTTTAACCTGGGAGGCAGAGGTTGCAGTGAGCCAAGATCGCACCACTGCACTCCAGCCTGGGTGACAGAGTGAGACTCCGTCTCGGGGAAAAATTAAAAAAAACCATATATATATATATATATATATATATATATATATATATATATATATATATATTAGTAAGCCAAAGGCCGGGTGCGGTGGCTCATGCCTATAATCCCAGCACTTTGGGAGGCCAAGGTGGGTGGATCACTTGAGGTAAGGAGTTCAAGACCAGCCTGGCCAACGTGGTGAAAACCCATCTAAAAATACAAAAATTAGCCGGGTGTGGTGGTGTGTGCCTGTAATCTCAGCTACTTGGGGGCTGAGGCAGGAAAATCGCTTGAACCCAGGAGAAGGAGGTTGCAGTGAGCTAAGATAGTGCCACTGCACTCCAGCCTGGGCAACAGACCCTCTCTCAAAAAAACAAAAACCAAAAAGCCCCCAAAAAACCCAATAAAGTAAGCCACAGAAAATAAAATGTTATTAAGAAAATCGTAAGGGGCCAGGCACAGTGGCATACGCCTGTAGTCCCAGCTACTCCGGAGGCTAAGGCAGAAGAATCGCTTCAATCCAGGAGGCGGAGGTTGTGGTGAACCAAGATCACACCACGGCACTCCAGCCTGGGCAAAGGAGCTATACTCTATCTCAAAAAAGAAAAAGAAAAAAAGAAAAAAAAGAGAAAAAAATCATAAGGAAGATAAAATATATTTGCTACTCCTTAAGTGGAAGTAGATCATCATAAGGTTCTTCATCCTCATCACCTTCACATTGAGTAGGCTGAGGAGGAAGAGGAAGAGGAGGGGTTGGTCTTGCTATCTCAGAGGTGGAAGAAAATCCACGTATATGGTGGACCTGCACAGTTCAAATCCGTGTTGTTCAAGAGTCAACTGTAGGTTAAACAATTAAAACGTCGAGGTCAAAGGATGAAGACATTAAGTTATCCTCGTCTCAAGCTAATGTCTCCTTCCCAGACTTCTCCCTCCCGCCGCCCTCACCCTCACCCACCACCCTGATGCCTGTGGGAGGGGAACCACAATAGGCCAAAGAATCCTAGATTTCAAAAGATCACCCAGTTTGTCATGGTTATTTAACCGTTGCAGAAACCAAGGCCCGCAGAGCTCAGGGAGGAATTCGAGTCCTCACTCCTAATCCAGCATGCTTTCCCACTGTATCATCCAGGGCAGGGACATCCCTGGAAAATTCAGCAATGTTCTCACTTAATAGTACTCCGCCCCCAGACTTATACAGAGCAATCTTTATTTATTTATTTATTTATTTTTTTGAGAAGGAGTCTTGCTCTGTTGCCCAGGCTGGAGTGCAGTGGTGCAATCTCGGCTCACTGCAAGCTCCACCTCCTGGGTTCACGCCATTCTCCTGCCTCAGCCTCCTCAGTAGCTGGGACTACAGGTGCCTGCCACCGCGCCTGGCTAATTTTTTGTATTTTTAGTAGAGACGGGATTTCACCGTGGTCTCGATCTCCTGACCTCATGATCCGCCCACCTCGGC